>NC_000018.10:52131242-52431908 GCF_000001405.40 Homo sapiens
ATGACTGTTATCTGATCCTAGATAGATCTTTAAACCCCATGTAATGGAAACTTTTAATAAAGCAGTGATTCTCTAGGTTTATTCATTCCCTCACTACTGCTGAGAATTCATTCTAGTGAATATTAATAATGGGTATATTTCATAATTATTAGGCTTGTTCAGTTACAAAAAAGACAATGAGAACTACTGATTCAAATATAAAGGAGGAAGCCATTGTATTTGAAGCAGTAGACTGGCTTGGTATAAAGGGCGTTTCAGGAAAAAACTCACTGTTTTTCCTCTACTCTTACACCACAATGACAATCAACACAGAAGACATCTGTGACCCAATGTGGGAGATTCCTCCCACACAACAAGTAGCAGACACCAGCTGGGTGTCCTCTAATTCAATTTCATCACTATCTACCTGAAGATAGCATCACATATCACAAGGTGAGGGCTCAGTCCTCAAAACTGCCGCTGTCCCGCATCAATTCCAAGTCTCAGCCTCCAGAACTTCTGACTGACTGGCTTCAAGTTGGGGTTCCTGTGATACCCACTTGCGGTTTGAGTAATTTGCTGGAGCAGTTCAAAGAATTCAGGAAAACACTTACTTATGTTTACTGGGTTTATTATAAAGGATATTACAAATGATACAGATGAAGAGCTGTGTAAGGTGAGGTATTGGAAAAGAAGTGCAGGGCTTCCATGCCCTCCCTGGGTGCATCACCCTCCAGAAACCTCCACGTGTTCAGATATCCAGAAGCTCTCTGAACCCAGTCCTCCTGGGTTTTATGGAAGCTTCATGACATCAGCATTCCTTCCCCCAGGGTATGCGGCCGTACCCTCTCTGGAATGAGAGTCTAAGATCCACAATTAGAAAGGTTGAGGAAGAATAGAATCTTGCCTTGGAGCAGGTAAGAGGAAGGAAGGAAAATGTCAGAGAGATTCTGTTTCCACTTCTCAGGCCTAACACAGCCAACTTTATAACAAAAGACTGTAACAAGGGCTATGGGAGTTATAAGCCAGGAACCGTGGACCAAACCAATACACGTACCGTAACACCACAATGGGAAAAGGAAAAGTGAGGCAAATGAATGGAGACATTCAAATCCTTCTGAGCACCTGCTGAAAGTATACTCTTTGAGGAGATGAGTACTAACCAGTACTAAAGGAGCTAGGCGCATTGATGGGAAATGATTATAGAGCATGGTCAAGGTCTTTAAAAAACTTATGTAGCTGTTGGAATGATGAGAACAGAGAAAAATCTAAGATCCTGATTAGCTGTGTGTCTTGACCAGGTAGCCACACCCCTCAGTTCTCAGTTGTATACCAGATGATCTCTAAGAAAGTAACATTCTGACATTTTACTATATTTTATGAGCATGCTGACTTTGCATATATATAATTTTTTCCTGTTCCATTTGCTAAGCAAAATGGAAGTTACCTCCAGGTAAAACTGAAAAGGCTGCTTTAGATCCTAAAGGACCATATGTTCCACTTAATTCAAAAGAATAAGCACTTATTGAGTGTCTACTATGCACCTGGCTAGAAGTATATTAAGGACTCTAAGAGGATTCAGAAAAAAAATATAGCCCAATCTGTTTTGATTAAGAACTAACAATGTAATTGTGATAAAAGAAAAATAGTTGAAGAAGACTGTGAGTTTCTAATAAGATTCTGAATTAAATATTATGTAATCAAGCTACAATTAGTTCATCCACTGGAAATCTTTTTAGAGGTTCATTGGCCATCCTTTAGACTTATAGTAAAGGTGTTTCTTGACCACTGTTTATTTAGCAAGTCGAAAGTGCTAAAACCTGAAGTCAGGGATCACAGGGAGTCATGGGTGGGCAAGACTGGGTTTCCCACAGTACCTAAAGTACTTGTGAATACAGCCAATACATGTATTTATCTTATTGGTTAAGCCCACTTTAACATTCTTTTTTCATTCATCCTCAACTCTATGTCTGCCTCCCCTATCTCAGCCCCAGGTGAGGACATCTGTTAGAAATTCTACATTAAAACATAAGTAGCAACTTGATAACAGAAGTTCTGTCATTTAGCCTCAGATATATTCATCCAATTAAGGGCTCAACTTGCTCACACCTTGCTTATATGTTATTTATAGAAATGGTACTATTTGCAATACAAAAATTGCAAAGTAGAGAGAAGGAGGTTGAATTTTTAAAGAGTAACTTATTTTTCTTAGAATTGCAATTGAACTAGTCCTTTCATTAATGTCAGATATGCATAAGCATCTCCATGTGGAAAAAAATTGTGGAAATCTCTTTCAGAATGTAATTGGGGAAATCCTCAAGTCAGATGCTTAGGCTAAATCCCGGTTCTTAGAAAATGAACCAAAGAGAATGTGAAATTCTCTTTTTTCCTGACACACTGAAATATCAGGTATGCCGGTGGGGGTGGGGGGGTGAGAGGGGATTAATGCATATGATAACCTACTTCTGTCACTCTCCTATAAAATAAGACTGTCCTATGCCATTCAATAAAAATGTGTGTGCAGAACACCCAAGAATTAAGAAAGGCTTCTTATACTAGCAATCGATACATCCCTTAGGAAATAGCCTATTCTAGTTGAACTGGAGTTGCCCAATGGGTTCTTCTTGCCTGCTGCACAGACAAAACCAATTCACAGAGACAGTAGTATTGCAGTAGAGAATGATTTTAATAATCACAGGGCTAGCCAAGGAGAAGGTTGGGAGAAACTACTCAAATTAGCCTCCCTGAGAACTCAGAGGTTAGGGTTTCTATGGATAATTTGCCAGGCAGGGAGCTAGGAAATGGGTGCTGATTGTTTGGGGTTAAAATCATAGGGGTATGAAAAGTAGTCCTCACATGCTCAGTCAGCCTCTGGGTGGGGGGCCACAGAACTGACTGATTCAATCACAAGTCATGGATCTGGGAGGAGTTAGTCTCTGGAACACAAAAGTCTGATAAATATCTCAAAAAACCAATCTTAGATTTTATAATAGTGATATTATCCATAGGAACAACTGGGGGAGTCACAAATCTTGTGATCTCTGGCCACAAGACTCCTTAGCAGTAAGAGACTGCAGGAAAGCAAGCTAAGGAACAAGGGCTGGTTATTATTAAACATCTTAGCAGAATTCAGGTCCTTCCCATAATCGTAGTCTCCTGGTCTTTCATGAGTCCTACAAAGGCGGTTTCAGTACCTAAAGAAGGAGGGAGTCAGTTTTAGGGAGGGGCTAGTATCATCCTTGCTTCAAAGGTAAACTATAAACTAAATTCCTCCCAAGTTAGGTTGGCCTACACCCACAAATGAAGGAAGACAGCCAGCCTGTGAGGCTAGAAGCAGGATGGAGTCAGCCATGCTCAGCTTCTCCTGCTGTCATAATATTTGCAAAGGCAGTTTCCGAACTGGAGGAGCCACAAAGAAAGATTTTATAGATGAGTATTACAGGCAAGAGAGAGTAGTGACTGACCTAAGGAGCAGTGTAACTGACTTTGAGATACACCCTTATACTCTCTGAATTTAGCTGGTCCTACTTGCTACCCTCAGCGGAGCAACTTTATGTGATTTTTTTCCACAAGAGATACTTTCAAGAAGACTAAGTCTATAAGTTGGACCAGACCATTGCAATTGTTTCTGTACTGAATTTGATCTAAAAAAACACAGAAAAAGTGGTCAGTTATTTCTTAAACTGAAAGGACAATTACAGTCAGGGCTGGAGTCAACACCATTCCATGGAGATGCATGCAAGCATAAGTTTTGAGGGAGCAGAAAACACAGAAGTAGATGATGTGGGGCTGAAGAGGGGGGAACCTAGCATATATAGGGAGGGACATGTACACTAGTTAGTAACAAGGAACAAGAGTAAGAGATGGAGGGAGAGCACCCTGACTCAGTTCCTAACTTTCCTGTTCTCAATTTCAAGTCATGTGCAGCCTGGCTATGCTTAATTTTGGGGTAATGTTGTCACTTGTTTTCAATAACCATATCCCATGACTTTGCTTTTGCTAGTCTGATTAGGTTATTGTCCTTGCAACCTGACTACATGTCTAGAAAAAGACACAGTGAATTAGGAACAGAGTTAGAAGTTAAAACTTCAACAAGGCCTCTACGCTCCAGACCAGTGGGATGCCGTTTTACCCATGGCATCCCACTGCCAGCTGACCAACCACAGTGCCTAGGCTAATATCCCTTTATCCAAGGTTTTATTTGGTTGTTTCCTAGCACTTAGTAAATACAATTTTGCAACGGAATTAAAAATCTAAAAAAACACACACACAAAAATACAAAAAACAAACCCCGCAAAACCACACAAACTCATAGAGGGCTTAAATGATACATATAAGAAAATAGTATCTGGACACTCATTTCCTCAAATGTTAGGCTAATTTTTAATAATTTCAAATCTTAGGAGCAGTACTGCATTTTGTTACTCTGCTAAACTGCTGGATGTGTTTTTTAATCTATAAATTATTTAAACCTATTATTATTATTATTATTATTATTTGAGACACAGTCTCACTCTGTTGCCAGGCTGGAGTGCAGTGGCACAATCTTGAGTCACTTCAACCTCTGCCTCCTGTGTTCAAGTGATTCTCCTGCCTCACACTCCCAAGTAGCTGAGACTACAGGCACACACCATCACACCTGGATAATTTTCATACTTTTAGTAGAGACAGAGTTTCACCATGTTGGCCAAGCTGGTCTCAAACTCCTGGCCTCAAATGATCCATCTGCCTCAGCCTCTCAAAATGCTTGGATTACAGGCATGAGCCACTGTGCCAGGCCAACAATTACTATTTTTTGGAAACACACTACTAAGTGAAAAAAAAAAGCCCAGATTACAAGGAAGTATGTATAGTATGTTCCCAAGTATCTTTTGTAGTTACCTTATTATCTTTACTGGTTCTCTTGTTTTATGTGTGGGTGTGTATTTGAATTACTACCAATGGTTACTAACTGTCAACCTGAAAAACTCCTTCAGTTTTTTTTTTTTTTTTGAGATGGAGTCTCACTCTGTCACCCAGGCTGGAGTGCAATGGTGCAATCTTGGCTCACTGCAACCTCTGCCTCCTGAGTTCAAGCAATTCTCCTGCCTCAGCCTCTCAAGTAGCTTGGATTGTAGGCACCCGCCACCATGCCTGGCTAATTTCTGTATTTTTGAGTAGAGACAGAGTTTTGTCATATTGGCAAGGCTGGTCTTGAACTCCTGATCTCAGGTGATCTGCCTGCCTTGGCCTCCCAAAGTGCTGGGATTACAGGTGTGAGCCAGTTCACCTGGCCCAGTGTGTCTTATAAGGAAAGTCTGGTAAAAACCAAAACAAAAAACAAACAAAAAAAACCCTTCCCTCTGTGTTTGTTTATCTGAGATGTCTTCATTTCACTTTAATTTTTGAAAGATAGTTTTGCTGGATTAATATTCTTGGATAAGAGGGTATTGTTTTGTTTTGTTTCTTTCACCACCTAAATTATCATCCCAGTGCTTCTAGCCTCCATTGTCTTCAGTGGCAAATCAGTTGTTAAATGTACTCAGATGCTTTTTATGGGAGGAATAGCTTTTTCATGCAGCTTTCAAAATTTTTCTCTCTGGCTTTCAGCATTTTGTTATGATGTGTTGCAGAGTGGGTCTGTTTACATTTTGCTTACTTGGAGTTAAACTTTTGGATGTGTAGATTAATTTTAGACATTATTTCTTTGAAAATGTTTTCTACTTGTTTCTCTCACCATCTCCTTCTAATACTGCCAGTGCTTCTATGTTAGTGCACCCAATGGTGTTCCACATTTTTCTTAAGCTCCATTTCTTTTTCCTTTATTCTATCTGTTCTTCAGATTGCATAATGTCTATCAATCTGTCTTCAAGTTCTTAGTTATTTTCTTCTTCCAGTTCGGATCTACTTCTGATCCATTTAACAACTATTTTTATTCAGTTACTGTACTTTTCAACTCTAGAATTTCCATTTGGTTGTGTTTTATTTTTATAATTTTTATCTTTGTAGTGCTTTTTTCTATTTGGTGAAGAATTATCATCATACTTCTTTAAACATGGTTTTTTTTAGTTCATTGAATATGTTGATTACAAATTCTTTAAAGTCTATGTCTGCTAAGTTCATCATCTGGGCCCTCTTAAAGTCTGTTTTTATTGCCTATTTTTTCCCCTGTGTGTGGGTAACAGCTTAGTATTTCTCTAGAGTGAACACCACTCCACAGTGTTGAAAACTCATTTTTGTTGAAAACTGTACATTTTAGGTAATATATTGTAACAACCTTAGATACTGATCCCTTTCTACTTGGAGCTTCTTTTTGTTTTTGTTCACTTAATACTTTAGTGGGTTGACTGAAATATTTTAGGGAAGTATATTTCCTCCATTGTGTGAAGTCTCTGATGTCACCTTTTGGAAGGCATATCCATGAGTATTTGGTCACCCTTGGATGATAGTTGTTTTAGCAGGCCTCTCTTTAACTGACACTTTCCGTGATAATTCTCTTAATTCCTCTAACTCTATCAGTGTGACACCAGCTATTAGATTCTGCTAATTTATGAACAATTTCTCTATTGTCTTCAACAATGCTCTGTGTCATAAATTGCTCCACAGTCTTATCCAGCTAAATTCAGAGACCTTTTCAGGTCTGGGTTTTTTAAAAAATGCCAGTCTTTGAGATTTGTTCTGATCCCAGGAGTTCACTTCTTAGCTGTGTCTTTCCCTGATTCTCTCTGGTAAACTGGTCTATGCATTAGGTTATTGCTCTCACAAAGCTATCAACTTCTTAATTGTATACCACCAAAATCCAGTTTTTTCTTGAGAGCATCCTTAGGTTTTAACTTCCCTATATGCTTTTCCAAATAAAGTCCATTTTTGGGGGAGAGACACTTACACCTCTTTATTTTCACGGACTTTTCTCCTGATCAAAATCTCTGAGCCACTCCTTAGATGGACATAGGGACTGTAGCCTGCTTCTTGGGACACCCTGTTTTAGAAGGAGGGTGTTGGGTGGGGCCAGTAGCCTCTAATCTGTTTTGTTTGTCTCTAATGGATGAAACTTCGACCCTATGAATGAACTAAAATGAGGCAATCAGGGCCTCAGTATTGTCTTCTGAGCCTGTTTTAAGCCTTCTACTGTATGAATGAATGGTGGGAGCCCCAGCCTCTCAGCCACACTTGCCAGGAACTTAGCTTCTGAAAGTTGGAGGCAGTTGGAAGGGTGGTGAGAAATGTTGATTGTGTGCTTCTCCTGGAAGGCGTTGTTTCCCTTGGTTAAGAGCTTAAGGGATCTGGAGCCCGATCTTCTGGGTCACACCAAACCAGAATGGAGCTTCTGTTATGTTGAGCTGAAGAAGGAGAGTGGGTTTGCAATAGAAGTACCACAGACACCAGCTGTTATTAGCAAAATTTAATAGATTTTTGTCCATCAATGTTTACTTATCGTAATTTACAGGCCAATTGTCATAACCAATTTATAATGATTTGTTCAAGAGTTTTTAAAATAATTTTCACCTGTTACGGTTATTTTAATTGGGAGTGGGTTGTCAAGGCTCTTCACACTGCTATTCCAGAAGTAGAACTCCAATGAGTTCTTTTTTAATATTTCACAGTTTCACATAATTTTCTATAATTTCTATCATGACTATGTATTACTTGCATTATCAGATACAATAAAGAAAAACAAGGTCAAATATTTCAGAAAAAAATAATTTTTCAAAAATAGGGGAAAGTAATGTTTAGTAGATTTTCAGAGGTTATTTCTTTATTGAATAGAAACAAATCTTTTGTATTTGAAATTCCAATTATTTTCATACAAACAGATGCATCTAATCAGCTTAAAGACATATGAAAAGAATTGGTTCTCTTAAATATTCTCACTCTTCTTTTGCAATCAATTCTTATACCAACTTTGCAGCTTTGGGTCTTGCCCCTGTCTAAAGTAGAATGCAAGTTATTTTCTCCATTCTGTCTAGACTGAGAATTCTTGAGTCTCCACAGTTTTCCTGCTCATGTTTGGACTTCATGGTATTCATCATACTGTTTACTTGAAATAACATTAATTCAGAATTAATTTGTGTCAAAACTGTTAACATCCTGAGATTTTACCCTATTTGTGAGCTAACAAGTTAGTGTGCCAAAATTTCATACATACTGGCAGAAGACACAAGACTCAGAGGAAAGACAAAGAACATCTTACTACTTACAGCAATAGCCATAGCCAGATTATTACCATTTTGCTTTGTTTCTCTGAGCCCCAGTTCCCACAGGGAAACACCATGAGAGCCAGGTGATTCTTAAATACCAATAGGTTGCATTATAGGAGAGGAACCCCAAGGTTCTGGGAGCCAAGTCTTTCATAATGCACAATAATTCTGCCGAAACTTTGCACTAGAGAGAGACATTATAAACTGGACAGTAAATAAACCTGCTGTTTGCTACTGAGGGAGAGTCTATCTCTGTCTACCTAAGTTGTTTGCTATACAAACATCCTTAAAAAGACAGTCCAGAACAAAGCTAGTCAGTAGTGCTTATACATGCAACATATACATAAATGTAAGAAACCAATGGAAAATTGCCTCCCAACAATGTGAATCGCTTAGGTCCAAAGTTACAAAAACAACCTAGTTAGAAAACAACAACTAGGAATGGAAATGTCGTAAGAAAAAGTGTTTTATACAGGTGAAGTCTTCATATAACTGAAGCATATACTTACAGATATCAAAAGTTGAAAAGATATTTTGGATAAAACGTCAAAAATATGTAACAAATTCTTGTGTTATGTTAAATGCATGATGGAAACACTACAGAACATTTATTAACATGCAGGCACAAAATAACAGTCATAACTTGTTCTGTAAGATCACTGTGCTCCGGGGAGATTATACTGGTAGTTGCATGAAAGGCCCCTTCGAGCAAATGTGACAATGCTCTACAGTAGGAATTGGCTAACCATCTAGTCAGACATGGGTAATTAAATACTCAGAGCCAGCAGTTGGATACATAATTATTTAGGAATCAAGCTCAGAACACTACTTCTAAGAGCAAAAGAATACCCTGTTCATGGAGTGGTGGAAAGTATATTTTCAATATGTCAGACAATCTATATCTTAACACTAATTTTAATCAATGAAAATCGATGAATAACACCCATTATGCTAAACACAATCCACTAATTTCACCAGTGAAAAAACTATTTCTATCAATTAGTATGCTAAACAAAAAAACCTCCAGTGTGAATCAAAATAGTTTAAAAAGGATTGTAACTGGGTCCTTTCATATTAAATGCTAGTAAGTGTATTCTTAATTAGGAAAAAAAGACTGCCTCAGGGTGTACAGTAATTCTCTATACTAGACACGTATACTCACTGAACTAGTATGCAGTATAAATTATAGGTCTCATAGTAAGGGTTTACCATTAACCCATTTTTAGTTGAGATAAAGAGGCACAGAGAGGGTGGAAAATTTGCTCGGGCTCTCAAAGGTAGGAGATGTCAGACCTAGTTCAGCATCCACATTTGTTCTGTGCTTGGTTCTGCTGCATCTTTAAAATTTCCCTATATTCTGTCTCTACCAAGTAGTCGATTTTCATTATTTACTTCTTTTATGGGTCTCCTTTCCCTGTTTCTATTAGTTAGCAAATTCAAATTTGCTGGGAGCTGAATATCTAGATAGATGTGTTCTTTGAACTTTTTGCTTTAAATTGCTGTCAATAGGACTGAATGAAAGAGTAGGGCCTGGGTTGGGTCTTGGGGGCTTGTGGTAGCTGCCTCTGGGATTCCTAAGGGCTGTGGAAATCTGTTCTCTCTGTAAGTGGGTTTGTGACTGTGTTTAATTTTAAGGTTAACAAAAGGCAGAATGGGAGCAGGTGATGGTTGGGTTGTGCTTGATGACTCCAGCTCCATTCAGGAGCACGTTTCTGTGGTGACCGGCTGGTATTGTGTAAGGATGATTATTAATTCCAGCTATCAGCAGGTCTTGAGCCAGATTAATCTCCATATGGCAGAGGGACACAAGAGATCCGAGTGTAGCCACCAATATACACAGGTCCCAACCTTATCTGCACGCTGGCACAGAGCGTGTCAGTTTCTAATTCTTCCTTGGGAATATATCATTTGATTCATGTGTGAAAGATCAGTGAGGGAGGAGTATAAATCCCACTTTTGTTCAGCCTTCTGGGCAGTTCGAGCCTGCTAATTTCTGCAATATGCATGATGTACGGCAACCTCTCAGATTTACAGTCTCTCCTTCGAGTCGAAATTAAGCAGGAGACCATTTATTAACATCTCAAAGACAGAGACCCATGTTCTGGTTAGCACTACAATTTTGGAGAATTTTCGTGAGTGAAAAACCCTTCTGAATCTCTTTACCCAGGCTGTTGATTTGTGGGAATGTGTAAGCATACGTGATTGTTGGAGGGTGTGTTTTTTCGTCTGTCTCTCCTGGTATCTACATAGCTTATTATCTCTGGTCAAATGTTTCTTCATCTGACAGATGTTTCCTGACCACACAGTATAAAATAGAAATCATTCTCATCCATGCACCTCTCTCTCACTTCCCTTTTATATTGTCTTTATATACTTTCATAGAATGTATTACCATCCCATACATACCTATATGCTGGTTAGCTGACTCCTTCACTTAGAATTTAAGCTCAGTGACAGCAAGAACTTTGTCTTGCTCCTGGCGACATCCTTACAGCCTTGAACAATTCCTGGCACACAGTAGGGATTCAATACATATTTGATAAAAGAAAATGAAATTAAATGTTTACAAAGTTACTTCTCCTCTCTCCAGTGACAATGGGGAAAATGTAGCTAATATCATTCAACATTCAAAATAAAGAACTTAAATTTGCACAATGCTGTTGGCAGAGAATATTTCATTTAACTGCCATTAGCCCTTATCCTAGAATGACTTCATGCAATTGAATTACAAATATTTCTGCCTTTACTTGGAAGAAACAGTAGAATTATGTGGTAGTAACTAAATGTTTTTTCTCCTTTTTTTTTTAACATGCAATTACTATCTATAGAATAACTGGATTATCCTTAATGACAAGACACAAATAATAAGCATTTTGATTAAGACAAGTTGGTGAAACGCTAAAAGCTAATAAAAGTTGTTTTCTGGTTTTTTGTTTTTTTTGTTTTGTTTTGTTTTGTTTTTGAGATGGAGTCTGGCTGCCTCACCCAGGCTGGAGAGGAGCAGCGTGATCTTGGCTCACTGCAACCTCCGCCTCCCAGGTTCAAGAGATTCTCCTGCCTCAGCCTCCTGAGTAGCTGGGATTACAGGCACTTGCCCCAACGCCTGGCTAATTTTTGTATTTTTAGTAGAGACAGCATTTCACTATGTTGGTCAGGCTGGCCTCGAACTCCTGACCTCATGATCCACCCACCTTGGCCTCCCAAAGTGCTGGGGTTACAGGAGTGAGCCACAGCACTTGGCCAAGTTTTTTTTTTAAAAACAAACAAACATGGCTCCCTCAAATTAAGTAAATTGACTACATAATGAGAAAAAAGCTTAGTTACTCAGTGGCTCCCAAATGAAGCCTTATGAATGTTTATTACTTGAAATCTGCAGATCCTAAAATTAATTATTCTATTATTTTTCTTTAAAGTTTAATTTAACCAGTAGCCATAATGACACAACAAATCTTTCAGGGAAGAAGGTCATTATGAAAAAGACAGGTGAGGTTAACCCAATAATGCTTAGAAATTGCTAATGTACATATTCAACAATATACTCCTTTCCAGAACCACCAGCCTTTATCAAGCAATTTCTTACATGTCTCCAGTAGAAAAGGCAACATTTTCACTTTGCCAAAATTTTGGCACTAAATTCTAAAATCCAGTAGGACAATGGCTCCTGGGATTTTATGTACTTTTTCATGATTTTCATCCATTCTATGGTGAAGTGTGAAATGAGGTAAATATTTAGTCTGTCCACCAGACACCACTCTCAAAAGAGAGTATATACACCTCAGGCCACCCACACTTCAAAAGGCCATTATTGAAGGCTATTTCTGCACAGGCTTCTCAGTTGGTCATGTCTACCTATATCCTTTATGTATATTTTTGCTCTCAGTTGTAAAATTCCTGCCACAGCTCTCATATCTCTTCCAATCTCCAACCTACCTATCTCCATCTCCGTTTTTTTCTTTTTCCTTTTTTTAAGGAGATAAGTTCTTGTTATGTTATCCAGGCTGATCTTGAACTCCTGGGCTCAAGTGATCCTCTTTCCTCAACTTCTAGAGTATCTGGGACTGCAGGCATGAACCACTGTGCCCAGCTCCAATTCCCATTTTTAAGGTCAAACTTAGTTCAGCCTCTCTTAGGAAACCCTGTCTGGCTACTTTAGCTGATGGGTCTGAACCTTCACTGGCATATAAAACTATAATGGTGATTATGATGAGAATGATGATGGTGATGATAACAGTAAACACTTATTAGACTCTTATAATGTGCCATAACTGCAGTTTAATTACATTATTTTATTTGACCCTCCCATACCATATCACGTAGATACTATCATTATTCACCCTTTTGCAAATGAAGCTTAGAAGTATTTGTTAATGTTGGAAAATATTCACTACATAGAGATGAAGACTGTAGTCAGACCCAGTGAATTCTCATAATGCAGAACTTCATTCCATGCTGCCTTACACAGGCATACCTCAGAGATAGTGTTTGGTTCCAGACTAACATAAAAGAACAAACATTGCAATAAAGTAAGTGATATGGTTTGGCTGTGTCCCCACCGAAATCTCATCTTGAATTCCTATGTGTTGTGGGAGGGATCTGGTGGGAGGTAATTGAATCACGGGGGCAGGTCTTTCCCATGCTGTTCTTGTGATGGTGAGTAAGTTTCACGAGATCTGGTAGTTTTAAAAATGGGAGCCTCCCCGTACAAGCTCTCTTTGCCTGCTGTCATCCATGTAAGATGTGACTTGCTCCTCCTTGCCTTCCACCATGATTATGAGGCCTCCCCAGCCACGTGGAACTGTGAATCCAGTTAAACCTCTTTCTTTTGTAAATTGCCCCATCTTGAGTATGTCTTTATCAGCAGCATGAAAACAGACTAATACAGTAAGTCACACAATTTTTTTGGTTTCCTAGTATAAGTTACATGTATACAGTACAACAGTCTATTAAGTATGCAATAGAATTATGTCTAAAAAAAACTGATGTATGTACCCTAATTTTAAAAAAGCTTTATTACTAAAAAGTTTTAGCAGTTGTCTGAGACTTCAGCGAGTCATAATCTTTTCTTCTTATTATTATACTTTAAGTTTTAGGGTACATGTGCACAATGTGCAGGTTTGTTACATATGTATACATGTACCATGTTGGTGTGCTGCACCTATTAATTCATCATTTACATTAGGTATATCTCCTAATGCTCTCCCTCGCCCTTCCCCCCACCCCACAACAGGCCCCAGTGTGTGATGTTCCCCATCCTGTGTCCATGTGTTCTCATTGTTCAATTCCCACCTATGAGTCAGAACATGCGGTGTTTGGTTTTTTGTCCTTGTGATAGTTTGCTGAGAATGATGGTTTCCAGCTTCACCCATGTCCCTACAAAGGACATGAACTCATCATTTTTTATGGCTGCATAGTATTCCATGGTGTATATATGCCACATTTTCTTAATCCAGTCTATCATTGTTGGACATTTGGCTTGGTTCCAAGTCTACAGAACTCTCCACCCCAAATCAACAGAATATACATTCTTCTCAGCACCACACCACACTTATTCCAAAATTGACCACATAGTTGGAAGTAAAGCACTCCTCAGCAAATGTAAAAGAACAGAAATTATAAAAAACTGTCTCTCAGACCACTAGACCAATCAAACTAGAACTCAGGATTAAGAAACTCACTCAAAACTGCTCAACTACATGGAGACTGAACAACCTGCTCCTGAATGACTGCTGGGTACATAACGAAATGAAGGCAGCGAGTCATAATCTTTTTGCTGGTGAAGGCTCTTGCCTCAGTGACTGATCAGGGCAGTGGTTGCTGAAGACTGGGGTGGCTGAGGTGACTTCTTAAAATCAGACAACAAACTTGCCACACTGATTGACACTTCCTTTCACAAAAAATTTGCCTGCAGCATTCAACGTCTGTTTAATAACATTGTATCCACAATAGAACTTCTTTCAAAATTGGAATCAATTCTTTGAAGCCCTGCTTTATCACCTAAGTTTATATGATACTCTAAATCTTTTGTTGTCATTTCAACAGTGTTCACAGCATCTTCACCAGGAGTAGATTCTGTCTCAAGAGACCACTTTTTTTTTGTTCATCCATAAGAAGCTACTCCTCATCCTTTCAAGCTTTATCATGAGATTGCAGCATTTCAGTCACATCTCCAGGTTCTACTTCTAATTGTAGACTTGCTATTTCTACCATATCTACAGTTACTTCCTCCACTTTTTTTTTTTAATTATATTTTAAGTTCTGGGATACATGTGCAGAATGTGCAGGTTTGTTACGTAGGTATACAAGTGCCACAGTGGTTTGCTGCACCCATCAACCCGTCATCTACATTAGGTATCTCTCCTAATGCTATCCCTCCCCTAGCCCCCTGACAGGCTCCGGTGTGTGATGTTCCCCTCTTTGTGTCCATGTGTTCTCATTGTTCAACTTCCACTTATGAGTGAGAACATGAGGTTTGGTTTTCTGTTCTTGTGTTAGTTTGCTAAGAATGATGGTTTCCAGTTTCATCCATGTCCCTGCAAAGGATATGAACTCATCCTTTTTTATGGCTGCTTAGTATTCCACGGTGTATATATACCACATTTTCTTTATCCAGTCTATCATTGATGTGCATTTGGGTTGGTTCCAAGTCTCTGCTATTGTGAACAGTGTTGCAATAAATAGACGTGTGCATGTATGTTTATAGTAGAATGGTTTATAACCCTTTGGCTATATACCCAGTAATGAGATTGCTGTATCAAATGGTATTTCTAGTTCTAGATCCTTGAGGAATCGCCACACTGTCTTCCACAAAGGTTGAACTAATTTATACTCCCATCAGCAGTGTAAAAACATTCTTATTTCTCCACATCCTGTCCAGGATCTGTTGTTTCCTGACTGTTTAATGATCACCATTCTACCTGGTGAGAGATGGTATCTCATTGTGGTTTTGATTTGCATTTCTCTAATGACCAATGATGATGAGCAACAAACATATATAAATGTTTGTTGGCCACATAAATGCCATCTTTTGAGAAGTGTCTGTTCATATCCTTTGCCCACTTTTTGATGGGGTTGTTTTTTTCTTGTAAATTTGTTTAAGTTATTTGTAGATTCTGGATATTAGCCCTTTGTCAGATGGATAGATTGCAAAATTTTTCTCCCATTCTGTAGGTTGCCAGTTTACTCTGATGATAGTTTCTTTTGCTGTGCAGAAGCTCTTTAGTTTAATTAGATCCCATTTGTCAATTTTGGCTTTTGTTGCCATAGGTTTTGGTGTTTCAGTCATGAAGTCTTTGTCCATGCCTATGTCCTGAATGGTATTGCCTAGGTTTTCTTCTAGGGTTTTTATGGTTTTAGGTCTTACATTTAAGTTTTTAATCCCTCTTGAGTTAATTTTTGTATAAGGTGTAAGGAAGTGGTCCAGTTTCAGTTTTCTGCATATGGCTAGCCAGTTTTCCCAGCATGATTTAATAAATAGAGAATCCTTTCCACATTGCTTGTTTTTGTCAGGTTTGTCAAAGATCAAATGGTTGTAGATGTGTGGCATTATTTCTGAAGCCTCTGTTCTGTTCCATTGGTCTCTATATCTGTTTTGGTACCAGTATCATGCTGTTTTGGTTATTGTAGCCTTATAGTATAGTTTGAAGTCAGGTAGCGTGATGCCTCCAGCTTTGTTCTTTTTGCGTAGGATTATCTTGGCACTTAAGTCTTGAATCTCTCAAAATCATCCATGAAAATTGGAATCACTCCTGATAATGTTGATATTTTGACCACCTCCCATGAATTTTGAGTGTTTTCAATGGCATCTAGAATGATGAATTCTTTCCAGAAGGTTTTCAGTTTACTTTGCCCAGATCAATCAAATCAATTACTATCTATGGCAGCTACAGCTTTATGAAATGTATTCTTAAATTATAAAACTTGAAAGTCAAAATTAGTCCCCAATCCATAGGCTACAAAATGGATGTTGTTTTATCAGGCATGAAAACATTAATCTCCCTGTACATCTGCATCACAGCTCTTAGGTGACTAGGTACATTGTCAATGAACAGTAATATTTTGAAAGGAATCTTTTTTCCAAGCAGTAGGTCTCAACAGTAGGCTTAAATATTCAGTAAACCATGCTGTAAACAGATGTGCTGCCATCTAGACTTTTTATTCCATTTATAGAGCACAGGCAGAGAGCCCCAGGATCTTTGGAATGGTAAATGAGCATTGGTTTTAACTTAAAGTCACCAGGAACACCAGCCGCTAACAAGAGAATCAGCTTGTCCATGGAAGCTTTGAAGCCAGGCATTGATGTCTCTTCTCTTTTTATGAAAGTCCTAGATGGCATCTGTTTCATGTGTGCTGAAAATCTATTATTTAATGTAGCCACCTTTATCAATTATCTTAGCTAGATCTTCTGGAATAACTTACTGCAGCTTCTACATCGGTGCTTTCTGCTTCACCTTGCACTTTTATATTATGGAGATCAAACCTCATGAATCAGCCTCTGGTAGCTTCAGATTTTCCTTCTGCCACTTTCTCACATCTCTACATCTTTATAGAATTAAAGAGTGTTAGAGCCTAGATCTGGATTAGGCTTTGACTTAAGGGAATGTTGGCTGGTTTGATCTGTCTAGATCACTAAAACTTTCTCTTTGTCAGCAATAAGGCTATCTTGCTTCCTTATCATTTGTGTGTTGATTGGAGTAGCACTTTTAATTTCCTTCAAAAACTTTTCCTTTGTGTTCACAACTTGGCTAACTGGCACAAAAGGCCAAGTTTTCTGCCTACTTTGGCTTCTGATGTGCCTTCCTCACTAAGCTTAATCATTTCTAGCTTTTGATTTAAAATGAGAGATGTATGACTCCTCCTTTTGCTTGAACACTTAGAGGCCTTGTAGGGTTATTAATTGGCCTGGTTTCAATATTGTTATGTATTAATTGGTAGGGAGGCCAAAGGACAGGGAGAGAGATAGGGAAGGACTTGTTGTAGGGGCATTCAGAACACACACCTTTTTCAATTAAGTTCGCCATCTTGCATGGTTGCAGTTTGTGGTGCCTTGAAGCAGTTATGATAGTAATATCAAAGATCACTGATCACAGATGACCGTAACAGACATAGTAATAAGGAAAAGTTTGAAATATTGCCAACATTACCAAAATGTGACCCAGAGACGTGAAGCGAACACATGCTGTTGGAAAAATGGCATTGGAAAACTTGATTAGCATAGGGCTACCACAAACCTTCAATTTATAAAAAACGCAATATCTCTGAAGTGCAACAAGGAAGAACAGTAAAACAATGTGTGCTTGTAGTTATTGTACCATGTGGTCATTTTTGCCTGCCAAGCTAGATTGTAAGGCCTTTTAAGGCAAGAGACCTATTATTTCTTTGGTATACTGCTCAAAGCTTTTGATGATTAAAAGTTTTGATGATCATCAAGTGGATTTTAGTAAATAGTTGACTGAATTGACACCGTGGTCTGAGACTATTGTATTTTTCAGAGTCCCAGAGGAAGAATAACTGTCACATGTTGTTTCTCCTCTCCTTCTCTTTCTGTACTTGAGATTCTCTTGAGGCAGTTTCCTTACTAGCAGAAATGAGTGTTTGATTTACCCAAATCCAACATGAGACAGTGCTTTTTCTTAGTGACTTAATGGCTAGGCTAGATAATGCCTGTTCCTTTATCCATTTCTCATAAACACTATTTAGAAGAGGTTCGGTCTGCCATGAGGCTGATATGTATATGATTTTCCATCCCTTGCCCTGCAATCAATCTTAGAATACTTGAGCTGAAAATGACTGATGGGAAAATCCAATTCATCCTCCCCTTCTTACAGACAAGGAAACTGAGACTAGTTGGCCAAAGCAGCAACCACATTTCCCTATAATTTGTCCCTGGCCCCTTCTTCTGCATCATTCTTGAATCACTGCAAAAGATCAAGAGGGATACTCAGGGGAGCTTATCCTCTGACCCCCAAATGCAGAATCCTATGCAAAATGAAATAAAAAAACCAGGGTCATAGGTAATGCTCTTATGAGAGTTCAGAGAAGGCAGAAAGCCCTTAATAGGATGGTCAGAAAAAGCTTATTAGAAAAAGATATTATTGAAAGGCTTGACATGATGGCTCATGCCTGTAATCCCAGCACTTTGGGAGGCTGAGGTGGGAGGATTGTTTGAGGCCAGGAATTGGACACCAGGCTGGGCAACATAGTGAGACCCTGTCTCTAAAAATAATAATAATAATAATACTTACAAAAGATATAACTGAGTTGGAAATTGGAGTTGTGAAAGATTTTGACAAGAGGAATGATGGAATAGGGTTCCAGGCAGAAGCAGTATATGTGATGAAGCCAAAGCTATGCTTAAGGAGCTATGAGAATATTTGGCTGGAGAGGACAACCTCTGGAGATAGTGAGAAGAGAAACTCCCTCTGTCGGAGACCCATGCATCTGGAGAGCAAGCCTAAGGAACGTGGCAAATGGAAGTTATGAAGGTTTTTAAGCATGAAGGTGATACGACAGAGGCATTTTGTGAAAATTAATCTAAGGGTTGCAAGTTGGGCTTAAGTGGGCAGAAACTGGAAGCAGGCCGACCAATTTAGAGGCTACTTGAGAGACATTGTAGAGCCTGGTTACCTCAGAGTTCCCATAGGTAATAATGAAATCAGTGATTATCTCATGACTCAGAGAAACAGAATTTAATTTTTGATCCACACCTTTTCTTCTAGGAAACGGAAAGAGGGATTTTTATGGAGGAGGTGTGGTAAACATGGAGATGCTTTGCCCAGATCCTGCTTTCAGGGAGGACTCATTGCTTACCTTGGGGAGTAAGTCCTCCAGCTCTCAGCATGGTGAGGGCTGGCCTCAGAGACCCAGAGCTACTTTGCCTCAGGGCACAACTTCTTGTGAGGCAGTGAGGCAGGGTATAAGGCTTGGCAATCTCTGCCTGATGCCAATCATTCTGATGAGCAACACATGCTCCAGGGCTCCCAGATGGAAGGGTTGATGCTTTCTAGAACCGGCCTTAAAGTTCAACTTTTCCCTATGCTTAATTCTGATTTTATCCTCTTCCATTAATAGCTGTTGATCTTTAACAAATAACTGCTCCACAATTCCATTATGGCGTCTATTTCCACAGACCTCAACTTCCAACAAGAGGGAAGGCAAGAGCGAAGATCAGGAGAAGACAATCCACAGCTGTGTGTGTGACATGACAGCACATGTTCTCCTGCTTTCTCATTGGGAGGTGTTTAGGATTAACAAGCTAATTGGAAAGAGGGTTAAGGAAATGATTTCTGCTCTTCTCTAGCCCTTTTATAGAAATTATAAAACAATAATTTCCACATCAAAGAAGTGGTGGTGGGTGACAGGCTGTGCCGATAAATGTAAGAAAATGAGAGAGGGTTGTATTAAAGCCCCTCCAAACCCTTGGCACTGCTGAGAACTTCTTTTCTGTGTTTCAGAATGCCAACATTTACTTTTTTTTTTCCAACTTTTATTTTAGAATTTGGGAGTATACTTGCAGGTTTGTTACAAAGATACATCGCATGATGCTGAGGTTTGGAGAATGACTGAACCTGTCACACAGGTAGTGAGCATTGTACTCAATAGGTAGTTTTTCAGCCTTTTCCCTCCTCCCTCTCTCCCCTATTAGTTCCTAGTATCTATTGTTCCCATGTTTATGTTTGTGTGTACCCCATGTTTAGCTCTCACTTATACATGAGAACATAAAGTATTTGCTTTCCTATTTCTTCATTAGTTCACTTAGGATAATGGCCTCTAGCTGTATCCATGTTGCAGCAAAGGACATGATTTCACTCTTTTCTGTGGCTGCATAGTGTTCCATGGGTGTATATATACCACATTTTCTTTATCCTATCCATTGTAGATGGATACTTGTTTGGTTGATTCCATGTTTTTGTTATTGTAAATAGTGCTGCAAGGAACATGTGGGTGCATGTGCCCTTTTGGTAGTATGATTTATTTTCCTTTGAGTAGATACCCAGTAATGGGATTGCTGGGTGGAATGGTAGTTCAAGTCTTAGTTCTTAGAGGAATCAACATTTACTTTTGTTATTATTCCCTGTAGAATAAGGATGGACTGGACTATTATGCTTCACATCAAACAATTCCCAAATCCCAGTGATTAAGAGTGGTGGAGATTTACTTGTCTCATATAGCACAGGCTTATAGTTGGTATCCTTTGGAACTCTACTTTGCCCATGTTCTGGGACCTAGAATCTTGTACAGAAAACTCACAGTACTATTGGCTTCTTCACCTAGTTATTCCCTTTGCTCTCTCCCATGCTGGTGGCCATAGAGGAGGGAAAAAAGAGAGTTCCTAAAGGTCTCACATTCAAATTAAGTGTTTTAACCTGGAAATGGCACACATGACCTCTTACCAGTCAGAGGTCTTCACGTGGCCTCACGCAACTGCTTAGAAAATACAGTCCTGGCCAGGTGCAGTGGCTTACGCCTGTAATCCCAGCACTTTGGGAGGCTGAGGCAGGCGGATCACGAAGTCAGGAGTTCGAAACCAGCCTGGTCAACATGATGAAACCCATCTCTACTAAAAACACAAAAATTAGCCTGTTGTGGTGGTGGAAGCCTATAATCCCAGCTAGTTAGGAGGCTAAGGCAGGAAAATTGCTTGAACCCGGGAGGTGGAGGTTGCAGTGAGCCGGAATCATGCCACTGCACTCCAGCCTGGGTGACAGAGCAAGACTCCATCTTGGAAACAAACAAACAAGAAAGAAAGTACAGTCCTATTATAAGCCCGGAAAAGGAATGGCCTAGAAATATTTGGTGAAGACCACAAATAACTAAAACAGTTTCATTTTCTCTTTCTGTTTCTTTAATACCCTACTTCTATTATTTTCCACTTGGCTGCCTGAGCTGTAAGCCTGCCAGCACACCCACAGACACTGGGGAGGGCCTGTAAGAATTTCCAGAGATTGAGGATTATTGAGACTTCCCTCCCTGCCTATGACAGGGTTTTGTGTGTGGGACATTCTTTATAATACAAGATGGAGTTAAAGAAGACCATTTCTTTGCAGAATTGAGTTAAGCATTCGCATAGCAATGCAAAATGGGAGGAGAGAGGGTGTTGTGGGGAGAAAAAGGTATAATGGAAATCCTATTTTGGTGTTCATTATAACATCACTCCTGCAGCAAAATTACCTTATATCCCTGACAGAGATTAAAGGTTTTACTCCTCCTGGTTATCGGCAACAACTCCTCTCATTAACTCTTCATCTCACCACCTACATAGCCATTTATCCAAATGTATATGTAAAATTAAAAATAAATAAAAGGATTAATCCATAAAGACACTGAAATAGGAAGGTAAGGGGATGGGATGGTAGAAATGCTAGACAAAATGAAAAATAATATTAAACCCATATTTCATGAGGCAAGCGAAAGAGATTTCTCATTAGTTCATCCATCTCATTATCTTCCCAGAAGAGATTTTAATGTTCACCTTCACAAAGATGGTTTTTAAAGGCTCAGTTTTGTCTTGCTTAAATGTAGGTTCAAATATGTAGAGAAAAATGCATGTTTTGTAGAAATATTTACCTTTACCTGTGATGTTCATTCAAGCTAGAGATTGGGAAAGTTTTTTCTTCAAAAACCAAAAATCTAATCTCCTTCATTATCACTGAGGGTAGAAAAATAGGGAAAATGCCTAAGCTGCAGTTAGAATGATCCGGGTTAGAGAAACAATGGCATTTCTTTTTCTTTTCTTTTCTTTTCTTTTTTTTTTTTTTTAACAGAGTTTCGCTCTTGTTGCCCAGGCTGGAGTGCAATGGTGTGATATCAGCTCACTGCAACCTCCACCTCCTGGGTTCAAGCAATTCTCCTGCCACGGCCTCCTGAGTAGTTGCGATTACAGGCATGCACCACCATGGCTGGCTAATTTTGTATATTTAGTAGAGACAGGGTTTCTCCATGTTGGTCAGGCTGGTCTTGAACTCTTGAACTCAGGTGATCCGCCGGCCTTGGCCTCCCAAAGAGCTGGGATTACAGGCATGAGCCACCGCACCTGGCCTACAATGAAGGCATTTCTTGACTGAAAAGATTACTGGGTAATGGAGTAGTCTATGATAACAGTAAGATAACTACCATTCATTGTGAGCTTCTGCTTACTATATTCCTAACACTGAGTTGAACACTTATACAAATTATTTATTTTTCACATTTTTGTTTGTTTGAGACAGGGTCTGGCTCTGTCGCTCAGGCTGGAGTATGGTGATGGGATCTAGACTTACTGCAACCTCTGCCTTCCAGGCTCAAGTGATTCTCCCACGTCAGACTCCTCAGTAGCTGGGACTACAGGTGCACACCACCACTTCAGGCTAGTTTTTGTACTTTTTTGTAGAGACAGATTTCACCATGTTGCCCAGACTGATCTCGAACTCCTGAGTTCAAGCCTGCCTCAGCCTCCCAAAGTGCTAGGATTACAGGTGTGAGCCACCATGCCCGGCCTATACAAATAATTTCTAAATTTCACAGTGACTCAAAAATTGGACATACATTAATATTCCAATGTCCAATAAAAAGACTCAGACAAATTGAGTAGCTTCTTCAAGCTACACAGACAAGAAAAGGCAGCAGAAACAAGATGTGATCCCAGGTCTGAGAAAATCTCAACCATCTATTGAAGCAGGTGGGATTTATTCTTTTTAATAGTGGTGATTATGATAATGATAGCAATAATAATGCCAATCAATAACAGTTATTAAGCATTTAATACATGCCAGCCTCTCTTATAAGCATTATTGAAGTATTAACTCAATAATCCTCAACAAATCCAGGGAGTAAGTGCTAATACACCATATTATAGATGAAGAACTTGATGAACAACTAAGAGAGGTTAAGGTAGTAGTGGGAGTTGTTAGAAAGATAACCTGGGTTCACCTCAATTAATCTTAACTACCAGCCGGGCACGCAGTGGCTCATGCCTGTAATCTCTGCACTTTGGGAGGCCGAGGCAGGCAGATCACGAGGTCAGGAGATTGAGACCATCCTGGCTAACACGGTGAAACCTCGTCTCTACTAAAAATACAAAAAGTTAGCTGGGCGTGGTGGTGCACACCTGTAGTCCCAGCTACTTGGGAGGCTGAGACAAGAGAATCGCTTGAACCCGGGAGGCGGAGGTTGCAGTGAACTGAGATCCTGCCGCTGCACTCCCGCCTGGGCAACAGAGCAAGACCGTCTCAAAAAAAAAAAAAAAAAATCTGTACTACCTCTGAGGACATAAAATAAGGTGAACTTACAGAATTACGATCGTCTCTACCCATTTTTCCATCCACTGCCAATACGGTGACTTATAGGACACCGTGAAGAATGCTGGTTAGGCTTGCGAACTCTGGAGCTGGACTGTCATGAGTTGTAATCAGAGCTGAATAAATGTTAGGGAACATCCCTTTATTAGTTTTCTGTGGTTGCCTTAACAAATGACCAGAAACTGAGAAGCTTAAACAACAGAAATTTATTCTCTCATCATTGTGGAGGCCTGAAGTTAAAAGAAGCCAGCAGGGCCATGCTCCTCCCTCTGAAAGTGCTTGAGAAAGCTGTTCCAGGCCTTTCTTCCAGCTTCGGCTGGTTGCTCACAATCCTTAGTGTTGCTTGGTTTGTAGACACATCACTTCAACCTCTGCCTCTGCCTTTACCTGGTGCTCTGTGTTTCTCCGTTTCCAAATTTTCCCCTTTTTATAAGGACAGCAGTCCTACTGGATTTAAGGCCACCATAATCAAGTATGACTTCATCTTAACTTGATTACACCTGCGAAGACCCTTCTTCCAAATAAAGTTACATTCCCAGGTTCTGGGTGGATATGAATTTGGGAATTTGAGGAGGAATACTATTCAACGTAATACAGTCTCTAATTTTTTTTTTTTTTTTTTAAGACAGAATCTCACTCTGTTGCCCAGGCTGGAGTACAATGGTGCGATCTCGGCTCACGGCAACCTCCATCTCCCCCCACCCACGTTCAATCGATTCTCATGCCTCGGCCTCCCTGATATTACAGGCATGTGCCACCACCTGCCTCAGCCTCCCAAAGTGTTGCGATTACAGGCGTGAGACACTATGCCTGGCCCCTGAAATTCTGTGTCTAAGTTTTTGTCGTGAGTAAAATGGAGATAAAAATTACATTTATGTCATTGGGTTGTTGTGAGATTTAATATGTACAGAGGACTTAGAACAGGGCTTAGCACAGAGCAGATGTTATTCAAGTGTTAAATTTTTAAATTACATGACTAATTTCTACTAGAACTTTGATAGGATCAGAAATTCTGTTAGGCTCGGTTCTACTA
Source organism: Homo sapiens (assembly GCF_000001405.40). Taxonomy (NCBI): domain Eukaryota; kingdom Metazoa; phylum Chordata; class Mammalia; order Primates; family Hominidae; genus Homo; species Homo sapiens. Next base: position 52,155,704 of record NC_000018.10, read on the forward strand.
AAAATAGTTATGTGCATTTTTTCACCTAGTCATTGTATTTTCCTGTAAATTAATATAGCTGATGACTGAAACTTATGTTTACAGAACTTGGTTTCATTGCAGCAAGGGAGGCTTTGATCCTAATCAATGCAACAACAGAGTAAGATCAATATACAAGTCATTCTTTATATGATGACATAAAAAATACTGAATTTTATTATATGTCTTTTTGGAGACAGTGTGGGCTCCCTTTCCTTTTCTTTACTTTATTGTCTTTCCTGTCTTTCCTCTTTTCTCTGTGAAGATTTTGCACCTAGTGAGGTGTGTGCAAGATATCAAAGGGAACTATAGCTGCAGTCCAAGAACAAGAAATTATCCAGCTCTAATGGCAAATAAGTGAATGCAGACAATTGTATCTGCTGCTATACATGAAATAAGATTTCATTTTGGGGCTTGCTAGCCAGGCAGCCCTGAAACAAATTAAAATGAGATTATCTGACAGTGTGGAGGTTTATATGTTTTAAAAACAATTCTGTAGTGAGCTTAGCTGCTGATTCTGCTTAGTATTTCTTATTTAGCTTAATAAATGATATCACTTGATTGAATCAATGTTTAGTTTTAATCATAGCCTTTGAAACTTGAGAACTGGATGGTGCCTTAGAGTATGCAGGGCCACTCCCTTATTTTACCAATAAGGAAATATTTATTCCTTGGGTTTGTAATGAGTTGTGACACATGAAATGCTTTCCTTCTTCCCAGGCCATCCCTCCTCAAACAATTCCATTCCATTCTTGAAGCTGCCAATTAGTGGTACCAAATATTCATAGGTGTTTTTGAGAAAGCAAAATTTGGTTCAATAGAAAATGGAAGAGTCACAGAAAATGAAAACAACAAAAGACCTGCCCATTACTTATTGCCGGTGAAACCTGCAGAGAGTTTAAGGAAGTCAAACTCTATGGCACAGTGCAATTTCTGAGTGTTTAAGTGTAGCTAAACCTTGCTGAGCTGCAGTTCTTTTGGGTTTACATCAATTAGAATTTTCAAGATTGGAAAAATGGCTTTGCAAGCTCTAATTTTGCTCAAAGGTGACTTTATTTTCAGTATTACTTTTGGCAGCATTTTGAAAAATACTTTTAAAGATTAATATTGCTTTGCTGTATTTGAATTTTTAATGAATGCATATTTTGTTAGCATTCTCCTTAACCCTAGCCATGTATGGTGAAGGTTTTGATTTGCTCATGAAGTTCTCACTAAGAATTTGCATTTACACTAGCAATTTCTGGGGTAAGTGAATAAGGCATTCTACTTAGGCTCTGTCCTAAAAGAGATTATAATGCAGTTATGACAACTCAGGCTGACAGTCCTAGTAAAAATAATAGAGAATCATAATTTAGAGACTATAATAAAATGCTCTATCTTATTTCCCTCCTGAGAGCATGTGCTGTTTGCTTTTAGATGAGAAGATTGTATTGGGCTGTGGAACAGACACTCGGATGTCAGTCACCATCTCAGTTGGCCTCTGAGGTTCATGCTATCTTTATCCTTATCTCTCATGGGTCCATTAGGCTGCAGTTTCCTCACCTGTGACATACAGAGCCTGGGCCCAGAGAACTTTATGTCCCTTCTTGCTCTAATATTTGGAGTCCTTGCCATTTTCTGATATAGGTGACCATGGTACAAATAGCTCATGGCACTCTGTGAGTCTGCTTCTTTGGCTGAGCTAAAATCACTTCAAGCAAAACAAAGAAAAGAAGAAAAACAAACAAGTCCGCTTTGATGGAAGCAGCCTCATCTGGAGAGCCAGCTGCTGTGTGCCTCCCATTAGGGTGTATTATAAGGAAGAATTTATACTGTCTTTGCAATAAGCAGATCTGGATTAAATTTGTGGCTTTGCTACTTCCTGGGAGAGTCTCCTAATCTCTTTTGATTTCAGTTTCCTTAACTGTAAAATAGGAATAATATCTTCCCTACTATTTAGGCTTTTTATGATGAGCTAGTAAGATTTGTCCTTGAGAGTTATTTGCAAGCTATATAGTGTTCTAAGCTATACTTTCTGCCGTGGAGATGTTCAGATCATGAAGATCCCATGTATTCTTTTAGGAAAGAACATCAAATTTCACTTGGCTCTAGCCTCTTTGTCAAACAAAGTCCAGCCACCCTAGTATGCTGCACAGCATTGCATACTACAAAATATCATAGGAAAGCCTGAAAAGAAGAGGGACGTTATGAACCTACACATCTGAAGTGCTCATGTGGTCTCTCGTCGCCCTCTAATAAGTATTGCTCTTAACCATCCATAGTTGCTAGAAAGAAACTGTGGATCTTTCTCCTGTTGTTCTTGCTTATAATGACTCTGGCGCTTGCCTTTGCAGGTACCTTTAGCTCCGGGATTTCATCTGGCTTAGGAGCTTTCTCTTAGCTCTTGAAATGTCTGTAAAAGCCTCTGTAACTTACTTAATATGTTACTCAATCATATAATAAAAACATTATTTAATGTAATTATGTTCTTGACATTATGTCTGTCTTGGGAGTACAGCTTTGAACTTGATAAACTCCTGGTTCCCAGGGACATTAAAAATGTGAAAAAGCATCACTAGAAGTATCTAAGCTCTTCAGAACCTCTTGAGCCCAGTCTTAGTGTATGTGGAAAAAGATCCTTCCTATTCCTTAAATGCACTCCTTAAACTACTGTTCTCTTGAAAAAAATTGGGGAAATTTCTTGCTCTTTTATTCTACAGCAGGAATATTTTTTTCATTTATTTATTTATTTATTTATTTTCTAAGGGGAAAGTTCTTTTTTTTAATTATACTTTAAATTCTAGGGTACATGTGCACAACATGCAGGTTTGTTACATATGTATACGTGTGCCATGTTGGTGTGCTGCACCCGTTAACTTGTCATTTATATTAGGTATATCTCCTAATGCTATCCCTCTCCTCTCCCCTGACCCCACAACAGGACCCTGTGTGTGATGTTCCCCCCGCCCGTGTCCAAGTGTTCTCATTGTTCAGTTCCCACCTATGAGTGAGAACATGTGGTGTTTGGTTTTCTGTCCTTGTGATAGTTTGTTCAGAATGATGGTTCCCAGCTTCATCCATGTCCCTACAAAGGACATAAACTCATCCTTTTTCATGGCTGCATATCCATGGTGTATATGTGCCACATTTTCTTAATCCAGTCTATCACTGATGGATATTTGGATTGGTTCCAAGTCTTTGCTATTGTGAATAGTGCCTCAAGAAACATACGTGTGCATATGTCTTTATAGCAGCATGATTTATAATCCTTTGGGTATATGCCCAGTAATAGGATGGCTGGGTCAAATGGTATTTCTAGTTCTAGATCCTTGAGGAATCACCACACTGTCTTCCACAATGGTTGAACTAGTTTACAGTCCCACCAACAGTGTGAAAGTGTTCCTATTTCTCCACATCCTCTCCAGCACCTGTTGTTTCCTGACTTTTTAATGATCGCCATTCTAACTGGTATGAGATGGTATCTCATTATGGTTTTGATTTGCCTTTCTCTGATGGCCAGTTATGATGAGCATTTTTTCATGTGTCTGTTGTCTGCATAAATGTCTTCTTTTGAGAAGTGTCTGTTCATATCCTTTGCCCACTTTTTGATGGGGTTGTTTGATTTTTTTCTTGTAAATTTGTTTGAGTTCTTTGTAGATTCTGGATATTAGCCCTTTGTCAGATGGGTAGATTGTAAAAATTTTCTCCCATTCTGTAGGTCACCTGTTCACTCTGATGGTAGTTTCTTTTGCTGTGCAGAAGCTCTTTAGTTTAATTAGATCCCATTTGTCAATTTTGGCTTCTGTTGCCATTGCTTTTGGTATTTTAGTCATGAAGTCCTTGCCTGTGCCTATGTCCTGAATGGTATTGCCTAGGTTTTCTTCTAGGGTTCTTATGGTTTTAGATCTAACATTTAAGTCTTTAATCCATCTTGAATTAATTTTTGCATAAAGTGTAAGGAAGGGGTCCAGTTTCAGCTTTCTACATATGGCTAGCCAGTTTTCCCAGCACCATTTATTAAATAGGGAATCCTTTCCTGATTTCTTGTTTTTATCAGGTTTGTTAAAGATCAGATGGTTGTAGATTTGAGGTATTATTCCCAAGGGCTCTATTCTGTTCCATTATTCTATATCTCTGTTTTGGTACCCGTACCATGCTGTTTTGGTTACTGTAGCCTTGTAGTATAGTTTGAAGTCAGGTAGCGTGATGCCTCCAGCTTTGTTCTTTTGGCTTAGGATTGACATGGCAATTCAGGCTCTTTTTTGATTCCATATGAACTTTAAAGTAGTTTTTTCCAATTCTGTGAAGAAAGTCATTGGTAGCTTGATGGGGATGGCATTGAATCTATAAATTACCTTGGGCAGTATGGCCATTTTCACAATATTGATTCGTCCTATCCATGAGCATGGAATGTTCTTCCATTTGTTTGTGTCCTCTTTTATTTCATTGAGCAGTGGTTTGTGGTTCTCCTTGAACAGGTCCTTCACATCCCTTGTAGGTTGGATTCCTAGGTATTTTATTCTCTTTGAAGCAACTGTGAATGGAAGTTCACTCATGATTTGGCTGTTTGTCTATTATTGGCATATAGGAATGCTTGTTATTTTTGCACACTGATTTTGTATCCTACAGCAGGAACATTTTTTATAGAGACTCATGAAATAGCTATTTTTTAGAGATTGTGCAGCCAGCATAATTTGGAGACTTGGTTTGCATTTATTCTCTTCACAAATGATAAATTCAGGTGGCCCTAGAAGTGGCTAATTATAAAAACCAAAGAGAGGAAGCTGAGAAACAGAATTCTTTACATTCACCAGATAACATATGCTTACCTTGTTTCAATTTATGAGCATAACTTCTCCCTCTGTAGACTAACCTTGTCCAGGGATACTCTCTGGTGACCTTGTCCTGTCCTTGGTGTTTAGGTACCCCTGACAAATATTCTGTCAAAGTCAAGAGTGATACCTATAGTAAAGCCCTACTTCATAGCTGCAAATGAAATTAGAGCTACCCACAACTTTGAAGAACAAAGTTGGGAGCTTAACGCAGTATAATTGCTGATTGTCAATGCTGATTAGCCTATTGGCGAGTGAATGAGTCAGCATCTGTCATACACTGCTAGCCTACAGGTAAAAAGACTGTGAGTGCTGGCAGGAATGCTATGAATCTTATGTATCTGGGTGGAGTGGAAGTGACTCAGCCCAAATTAAGAAAGTAGCAGCCTGACACAGCTGCATTGCTTCAGCTAGCTGAATTCCTGAGCCAGCTCCAGGGTACTCAGTGTCAATTGACATTGGATGAACATCTTATTGAATCTCTCTCTCTTTCTCACTAGATTTATTAAAGCATAATGTACATGCCATTAAATTCACCTGTTTTAAGTGTACAGTTCAATGATTCTTAGGAAATTTACAGACTTTTACAACCATCAACTCAAACCAGGTTAGAATATTTTATTACCCCAATATATCTTATGTTTGTTTGCAGTCAGTACTCAATCCCATCCCCTAGCTCAGAGAGCCATTAATCTACTCTCTATAGGTTTGCCTTATCTGGACGTTTCATATAAATGGAATCACACATTATGTATTTTTTTGTGTTTGACTTCTTTCACTTAGCATAATGTTTTTGAGGTCCACCCATTATGTAGCATATATTAGCAGCTTTTTTCTTTTTATAAATGAATGGTATTCTATTGTATGGATTTATCACACTAGGTTTATCCATTTGTCCAGTGATAGACATTTACACTATTTCTACTTTTGGGCTATTAATGATAATGCTGTTGTTAATAGTTGCATACATATTTCTGGCCCTACATTGTCAAATTAGAGTCTTCATAGTTAAGATTACTTATGTGCTAGTCACATTTTTTAGCTTTTAATGTCTAGAATTCTTCCACATAAATGTATGTATTTGTGTATTATACATACACACATGAATCTACATAGATACTTGCACACCATATGTACTTACTGTGTGTCTTTACTCTGAAATCATGAGCCATCATTCCAGGGTACCTTACTTTGTTAATATCTATCTTTTCATTGCAGCTATTCTAGTGGATATAAAATGGCATCTCTATGCTTTGGGGTAGCAGGTCCCTGGTAACTAATGATATTAATGTGCTTATTAGCTATTTGTATATCTTCCTTGGAGAAATATCTACTAAAATTCATTGCCATTTCTTTTTAGCTCAGCAAAGCTAACACTGCCAAATTTCAATAGAACTACTTTTCTGTTTATAATTGAGTTATAAGAGTTAAATATTCTAGATGTAAGTCCCTTATCAAATATATGACTTGCAAGTATTTTCTTTCGTTCTGTGAGTTGTCTTTTCACTTTCTTGGTGGTATCCTTTTTATATTTTATTTTTCTGAGACAGGGTCTGGCTCTGTCAAACAGGCTGGAATACCATGGCACCATATCGGCTAAGTGCAACCTCTGCCTGCTGAGCACAAGAGATCCTCCCACCTTAACCTCCCAAGTAACTAGGCCAACTGGTGTGTGCCACTATGCCTGGCTAATTTTTGTATTTTTGGTAGAAATGAGATTTTGCCATGTTTCACAAGCTGGTCTTGAACTCCTGGACTCAAGCAGTCCTCCCACCTTAGGCTCCTGAAGTGTTGGGATTACAGGCATGAGCCACTGTGCCTGGCCTCTCAGTGGTATCCTTTGAAGCACAAAAATTTTTAATACTGATGAAGTCAAATTTATCTATCTTTTCTGTTGTTGTTTGTACTTCTGGTGTCATGTCTAGCAAACCATTGCCTAACCCTTGGTTGTAAATATTCACTCCTGTATTTTCTTCCAAGAATTTTATATTTATTGTTTATAGCTTTTCTATAGGGTCTGTGAACCTTGAATTTATTTTTTTTGTATGGCATGAGGTGGGGATTCAAATTTTTCAAATTTATGTTTTTGCGTATGGATATCCAGTTGTACTGGCAACATTATTGAACAGACTATTCTTTTCCCATTGAATTAACTTGGTACCCTTATTAAAAATCAGTGTACCATAAAAGGGTTTATTTCTGAAATATTAATAATATTTCATTGAGTCATATGCCTATCATTTTGGCAGTACCACATTGTCTTGATTACTGTAGCATTATATTAAGTTTTGAAATCAGAAAATGTGAGTTTTTCAATGTTTGTTTTTTTAAAGTTTGCTTTGGCTATTCTGGGTGGCCCTTACATTTTTATATGATATTTAAAAATCAACTTGTCAGTTTCTGCCAAAAACAAAATTCACCTCAGATAGGATTTTGGTAAGGATTGCATTGAATCTATAGATCAATTTGGGGAGTTTTGCCATCCTAACAATATTAAGTCCCTGATACATTAATGTGGATGCATTTCCATTTATTTAGGTCTTTGTAAATTAATTTCAGTGATTATTTTATAGTTTTCAGCGCATAAGTTGGCGCTTTGTTTGTTAAACTTATTTCTAAGTATTTTATTCTTTATGCTATTGTAAATAGAATTGTTTTCTTGTTTGTTTCTTTTTTGAGACAGAGTCTCCCTCTGTGACCCAGGCTGGAGTGCAGTGGTGTGATCTCGGCTCACTGCAACCTCCGCCTCCTGGGCTCGAGCAATTCTCCTGCCTCAGCCTCCCAAGTAGCTGGGACTACCAGCACGTGCCACCACACCTGGCTAATTTTTGTATTTTTAGTAGAGATGGGGTTTCACTATGTTGGCCAGCCTGGTCTCGAACTTCTGACCTCAAGTAATCGGCCTCTGAAAGTGCTGGGATTACAGGCATGAGCCACTATACCTGGCCAAGTTGTTTTCTTAATTATATTTTTAGATTGTTCATTGCTGGTGCATAGAAATACAATAAATTTTATATAGAAATACAGTTGATTTTTATATTGAAATTGTACCCTGCAATTTTGGGGTACAATGTTAGTGATTGAAATGAATACATAACCCTTTTAGCACTTTGAATATGTCATTCCATTGCCTCCTGGCCTCCATTGTTTCTGGGGAGAAGTTAGCTGTTAATTTTATTAAGAGTTTCCTTACATGTGATGACTAATTTTTTCTTACTGCTTACAAAATATTTTATTTGTCTTTGTCTTTCAGCATTTTTGCTATAATGTGTCTAGGTGTAAATATCATTGAATTTATTTTACGTGAAGTTTTTTAACTTCAAATTTGGAAAATTTTTTCTGTTGCTATATATATATAATGCTCTTTTCTCTCTCTTCTTTTTGGTTCTAACTTTACATATATGTTGATGTGCCTAATGATGTCCCACATTTCTCTGATGCTATGTTCACTTTTCCTCATTCTTTTTGTTTCTATCTGTTCTTCAGACTGCATAATCTCTATCAATCTATTTCCAAGTTCTCTGATTCTTTTTTCTGCCAGTTAAAATTTATTGTTGAGCCCATCTAGTTAATTTATTTCAATTATTGTACTCTTCAACTCCAGGATGTTCATTTTGTTTTCTTTTATAAATTCAATATCTTTATTGATAGTCTTTATTCAGTGAGACATTGTCAATTTACCTTCTTTTACTTATTGAAGCATGGTTTCCTCTAGTTCCTTGAAAATGTTTATTATAGGCGGGGTGCGGTGGCTCATGCCTGTAATCCCAGCACTTTGGGAAGCCGAGGCAGGTGGATCACTTGAGACCAGGAGTTTGAGACCAGCCTGGCCAACATGGCGAAACCCAGTTTCTAATCAAAACACAAAAATTAGCTGGGTGTGGTGGCACATGTCTGTAGTTCCAGCTACTTGGGAGGCTGAGGCACAAGAATTGCTTGAATCCAGGAGCTGGAGGTTGCAGTGAGTTGATAGCATGCCACTGCACTCCAGCCTGGTTTACAGAGTGAGACTCTGTCTCCAAAAAGGAAATATATATATTCATAGCTGCTGTGAAGTCTTCGTATGTTAAGTAAATAATCTGAATTCTCTTAAAGGCCATTTCTGTTGCCTGCTTTTAATCCTGTATGTGGATCACACATTCCCATTTCTACCAGAAATTGTAACTACATAGTTTTTTTTTCCTCCTATTCTTTTCCTCCTTCAAGGAAAAAAAACAAACAAACCCTTAACTTTGTGAACATCACTTTAGTAAAGGTATGTGACAGAACATAGAACAAAACGACCTAAAAGTCTGACTTATGTGTCCCAAAAGTTTTAATTTCTTTTTTTAATTTAGAGTATTTTGAATAAAATAGTTGGGAGCAGTGGAAGAAAGAAAGTGGTGTTCCATGACTACTCCCCATCATTGTAGAAAGAGAATCACATGGGTGGAAAGGAAAAAGAAAGTAATGGTAAGAGTGACTAAAGAAAGAGAAATTGAGAACCTTTGAGAATGTGAGATCTGGGACCTGATTGCAGAACAGGATGTTCATAAGGTGGGCTGAGGAAGAAGAACACTATCAGTGAGAGTCAAGAATGTGTTATCAGTGAAGGTGGACAGAGTCCTACACAATATACAAAGTTTTCTTTTCCCCAAGGTGGAGCAGAAGCTGCAGCTTTACACCTATGCTTCAGCCTGCGCTGGCCACAGCAGAGATGACAAGAGACTCGAAGGAGTTTTGTGGATAGGAACACGAACTATCTCAAGAGTGACCAGTGTATACTTATGGCTGAGGAATAAAAATGGAGAAACGTAGGTCTGAGTGTTCTTGCTTGTACAGATAACTCAAACACAGAGGCACCACAGTACCCTATCCCTATATGAGCCCCTAAAACTTAGAAGCAACCACAGCATTCCTAAAGTATAAGGACTCTGAATAAAAATTAAGTTATAACATAGAACAATAAAAGAAGAAAAAAAATTTGCACACACAGAGGAACAATCAAGAAAACGTGGCAAGGAAGGGTAATGACAGGGAAGAATTCTACCATAAATTAAAATGTGCTACAGCCCATATGTTAAAAACTGTGTAGTGTTGGTAGAAGACTAGACAGACATAACAATCGGACAAAAAGAAAAGTCCAAAAATTAGACCCAATCACATATGGAAATCAAGTACGCAATAAGGGCAATCTCTGACTTGATAGATAAAATTATAGATTTTGTAATAAGTGGTTTTGAGATAAGTGAATATATATATTAAATACATCAAGTTGGATCCATTTTTCACATTACACACTAGGATAAATTCCAAATGGATTAGGTATTTAAAGATAAAAGTATTAAACCATACAAGCAAAATGAGAAAACATGATGTAATGGCTGAATTCTTTTATATCTGGAGAAAGGCAAAATTCTTTTCTAATCATGAAAACAAAATACTCCATATGCATAATAACAAGAAAAATGACAAGATGGGACACAGTATTTGTAATAGAATGGACTGAAAGTTAACATCTTTAAAATATAAAGAACTATTAAAAATGAGAGAAATGTGCCAACAATTCAATTTTAAAAATGGACAAAAATAGGCCACAGATATGTCACTGAAAATGAAATGAAAATTCTCTCACATATGAAAATGTAATCAATCTCTCTCGTATTAATAAAAATATAAATTTAGGATACAATAATTAATTTGTTTTTCTAATGAGGAATGCTGCCTCAGTATCTCATCACATTTTCAACACTCTTCTCATATAGCTCTTAACACAATATGACTTAGTGTTCACCAAGGTAGAGATTTTAGGGAAGTTACTGCCCCCCACATACTCTCCACCATACCAAGAACAAGATTGTGTTTATTTGCTTTCACTCTAGTGCTCAGTATGATGTATTTACCTGATTTGTGCCTTTAACTGATTGAAACCCCTATGTGAATGCTTAGTGTAATGATAAATATACACCCAGAAAAACAGCACCATCCCTTCTGTTCTAACTTTCTAGTGAGATGCAGCATAGTGTAGTGGGCAAACTCACAGCTTTGGAGCCAGATTATTAAGTTTCACTTACTGGCTCTGCAATTTATAGCTGTGCGACGTTGGGCAAGATATTTATTCTCTCTGTATTTCTATTTCCTTTAAATGATGATGTAAATGAAAATAGCTTAGCTATAGGATTTTATGAAAACTAAATGATTTATTAACATAAAATTCTTACAATAGTGCCATCTGATAGGTTTAAGTGCTAGATAAATATTTTACATTGTTATTAGTCAGGAAAATAGCACTTACTTTCAATCCAAAGAGACTGGGGAAAGATCAGGAAGATAATTACAAATACATATATATTGGGTTTAGTGGAGGTTGATGTGGGGGCTCAATTTTTTTCCATTTTTAACTGCTTGCCTCCCATGATAAGTTGTGCCAACAATATTTGTTGCATATTGAGGTAGCCAATCTTATACTTTTCTTCTTATCTAATGTCTAGACAACACTGATTTTCCCACGATATTCTTACTTATCTCATGAGCTTGGAATGACCAGTGAACATCAAGCCAGAGGTTATCTTGAAAGACAGGCTTCCAGGCCTTCCGAAATTATGCGTCTTTGTAAATCAAAGAAATTATTGAAGAGATTATGTTAAGCTTGGCATTTGCCACCTTACTAGAGAACAATAGCTTCTGAACACCATATCTTGGCTGTATTTTAGGGGAAGATAGTGATCCTTATAGTCAACCAAGGAATGGCTGGAGGATGGGGCTTCAACTTGCCCAATCTTTCCATCTCTTCAAATATGTTAATAATGGTAATGATAATAACAATACCACTTGACATGAAAGACTAGTATTAATTTTACACAAAATGTGATTAGAGGTATACTTAGAAGTCTTTGTTATCTTTATTGATCTTTGATATAAAATATAAGCAAACTTAATCTGCTTCCAATGAAAACACAGTATTAAGATGAATCTCCTGCCCTCTTACTGTCTCTGAGCCCCTTCTAGACTTCTCTTTACTGCAGAAAATCTGGAGCTGCCTACTGGCTGGATCCATTGATGAATGAAAACTCTATAACAATTTGTAACAAGAGAAAGTTAAAAGTCTGTGGAAGCCCTCTAGGACCTGGAATCCATCTCTATTCGTATGTCTAATATTCCCACTGTATAAGTAACCTTTATTCCAGAATTATAAATATCCACTTGCCTTAAAGAAAAGGATTTAGTATCATTCATTTTATTTTTAATAAATCCTAAAAGAAAACAGGAAGCAGCACAGTTTGGAGGAAATGAAATAGTATTGAGATTTAGATCCATCTCTGAACAACTGGGCTGTGAATGGGTAGAGTTCCCTTAAAATATTTTATTACCTTAGCAAATAGGGCAATCTGAATAGAAATTCAAGGCTGTAGATTGCAAAAGCAGGACTAACACCACATGTCGTGGAGGGAAGTCAGGCTGGACCAGGTATAGGGAACTGGCTAATCATAAAAGCCAATTTGGGCTGGGCACGGTGGCTCACGCCTATAATTCCAGCACTTTGGGAGGCCAAGGTGGGCAGATCACAAGGTCAAGAGATCGAGACCATCCTGGCCAACGTGGTGAAACCCTGCCTCTACTAACAATACAAAAACTAGCCGGGCATGGTGGCACATGCCTGTAGTCCCAGATACTCAGGAGGCTGAGGCAGGAGAATCAATTGAACCCAGGAGGTGGAGGTTGCAGTGAGCCAAGATCATGCCACTGCAGTCCAGCCTGGGGGACAGAGCAAGACTCTGTCTCAAAAATAAATAAATAAATAAATAAATAAATAAATAAATAAATAAATAAATATAAATAAAAAATAAAAGAAAAGAAAAAGCCAATTTGGTGAAAAGAAACTCTTGTCCTTAGGAAATAGGACTCTGGGCAAGAATATGCAGACTGATGATCGAGTGAGGAAGCCAGTGACTGGAGAAATGGGAACCAACATTAGAGTGACACTGGCAATATGGAGACGAGATTGAATCAGCCCTTTGTCACAAGGTGTCTGATTGAGAAAAGTTGACTCATTATCCATCGGGTAAACAACCAAAATGCTCTTTGCATTTCCCTTTCTAGGGACAAAATGAGACCCAGGGCCTGGAATAGGAGGAATAGATTAAGTGAAGCTTGTTTCTCAGTTTAGAGGTGTTAGAAGGAGGGGAATCTATGCAGCCTTTACAGAGTCATTTCCCTAAACACCTGTATTCCTCCCAGAGCTGCTGTGAGAAGCAGTCCTGTGGAATGGAAAGTACCTGGCTCTGGAATGAGACACACCTGGGTCTGCATCTTGGTTCCACCCTCTCTGCTTGTCCCATAGCATCCATTTTCCTTCACCACTCAGTCACAGCATCATGGTCTAGGCAGTGCTGGTAATACAACTACTGCAGAGGATTACATTGGAAAATCTACGTGGAAAGTCTGGCACAACATAGGTTCTCAAAAATTAATAGCATTTATTTTGAACTCATTTGAAGGAAGTTTGATAATCTTTTAAAAATTTTTGCTTCCCTTTTCCTTCAAGCAATTCAATAAGGTAAAATATGCCTTCATAATTTGATAATCAATGATTTAACAAAATGTAAAATGAATATATGCATTTATGTAATAATTTAGCCTTTAAGACTTTTCCCCCAGAGATATGAGAAGATGTATGTACAAAAGTATTCACTTCATCATTGTTTGTAACTGAAGAAAACTAGAACCAACCTAAATGTTAGGGTTAAATAAATTATGATATACTCATGAAATGAAACATCTCAGTCTCTAAAATGAACAGAATAGGTCTTTATGAGATGATTTTAAAATACAGCCAAGATATATGTATGATTCCATTTGTATAAAAAGAGCATATATGTATGTTTGTATGTGTAACTATTTTATGGAATGCAAAATACATTTTATTTTAACTGCATTTAAATTTTAAATGTATTTAACATTTAGAGAATAGTATAAATATGTCAAAAGTTAGAAAGTGAGAAAATTTAATTTAAATACTTTGGTATTTGAATTATAACCTTGAACATTCATTACTTCTGTGATTTTAAAATAATGGTTAAAAATGGCCACCTGGCTTTTTTTAATCCACAGATTTTTTAAATGAAGAGAAACTTGTGTTGGCTTGAGACATTAATGCAATAATAGTTTTTTTTTTTTTTTACTGAATATTTCACTTATTTCTTTCTTTACATAACTGAAATATTTAAGGTGCACAAAAAAAGGGTGGGAAAAATAAAATAAAATCCATGTACAACCTCAGGCCTAAAATTTGTCATCTTAACATTTGCCATCTTGATTACAAACTCTTTTATTTATTTATAAATAAACAGAAAAACAAAGAAATAAAATGATATTACTATATTAGAGGCTCTACTTTTACCTTCTCCCCTTGCTATTTCCATTTCTCTTCTGGAATCGCTATCCTGAAGTGGTTTACTTCTTTCTCATGCATGTGTTTTTGCTGTTTGATCTTTACGACAACACTTTAGCACAGGTATTATTATCATACTCGAATATCCTATTTTCTTATATGTGATTATATGTAATATGTATGTATTTCCTTATCTATAATGTATATGTATATATAAACTCTTCATATGTGTGTGCACATATAAGGATATTGAAGCTTAGAAAGGTATAGTAATTGATACTACTCATGTAACTAGCAAATGATGAAGCTTAAATGCAAACCCAGGGCAATCCGGCTAAGGCTTCAAGTGTATTTCACTTAAAGTGATTACTTTTTAAATTGTGGGGAGATTTACTTTATTCACATCTTACTGTTATGAGTTAAATTGCATCCCTCAAAAGGGTGTTCCTGAGTCTTTACACCCAGTACCTATGAATATGATCTTACTTGGAAATGGAGTCTTCGTAGATAAAATCAAATTAAGATGAGCTCATGCTTGATTAGGATCAGCCCTAACGATGACTGGTGTCCTTCTAAGAAAAGGAGAACAGACAGAGATAGACTAAGAGGGAAGAATGCCATGTGAAGATAGAGGCAGTGATTGGAGTGACGCAGGCACAAGGAAGAGATGCCGAGGCTTGCCAGCGAACTCCAGACGCTAAAGGAAAGGCATGGAACAGTTTCTTCCCCAGATCCTTCAGAGAGAACATGGCCCTGCCAACACCTGAATGTCGTATTTGTTTTAACACATACAATTTGTGGTACTTTGTTATCATAGCCCTGGGTAACCAATCAATTGGTTTTGTTGTCACTCATTTAACAAATGTGTGTGGAGCAATTTAGGAAAATGGTTAAGTATATGCATTCTTGAACCAAATATCTTATGTGTAGATCCTAAGTCTTAGGGCAAGTTATTAACCTCTCTCTGCTTCAGCTTCCTCATTTTAAAATTACGCTAATAATAGAACTTTCTTCATAGAATTTTTATGAGAATGGCATGAGTTAATATGTGTAAAGCATTTAGAACATGAACGTAGTATCATTAACATGTTGATGATATACCAAGCACATACTAGGTGCTAAGGTCATCTTAATTAACATAAGCTAATCTCTTATTAATAAAGAATCCATTTATTAAACAATTATATATAATGATGCGCAAGATGATTGTAAATTGTTTTGGTTCAATTCTCTGCTCCAAATTTAAAGTGATAGATTAAATACCAATAGAAGGAAAAAACTCAAAAGATATAGCTAGATTGGAAAACAATATAAATATTTCTAATGCAAATAATGAATGAGGCTTAAACGAATATGAAATGGCATCTGCAAGTTTTGCTCCTGAAGACAAAGAGATCTAAATGACAATATTTAAAATGAAAATGACTTTATGGGCCGGGCGCGGTGGCTCACGCCTGTAATCCCAGCACTTTGGGAGGCTGAGGCGGGCGAATCATGAGGTCAGGAGATCGAGACCATCCTGGCCAACATGGTGAAACTCCGTCTCTACTAAAAATACAAAAATTAACTGGGCGTGGTGGTGCATGCATGTAATCCCAGCTACTTGGGAAGCTGAGACAGGAGAATCGCTTGAATCCGGGAGGCAGAGGTTGCAATGAGCTGAAACCATGCCACTGCACTCCAGCCTGGCGACATAGCGAGACTCTGTCTCAAAAAAAAAGAAAAGAAAAGAAAAGAAAATTACTTTATGACATATCAAGAGCTCTAATGAAACTGAAGAAAAACTTAGAAGATTTATAGCCTTATTTTTACTAAAACAAATGTAAAAGATCGAAGATAAATAAGTAAAATCATTTATCTTACGTTTCTTCAAAATAAACAAGATTTAAACAAGATGTGGTACAAAAGAAGTTGTACTAACAAATAAACCCCAAAACACAATGGCTTGAGTAAGATAAGTGCTTATTTTTTATCAAATCATAGTGATCTGGGTCAGGTAAGGCAGCTCTGCCATCTTCGCATTTGCTTTTATCTCTCAGTTCACAATGGCTGGCTGCCCCAATTCTTGTCAATGCCTGATTAGCAAGAGTGAAGAACAGATCATGATTGACACATGCACCTTACTTTTATATATATGATCGAATAGTACTCTTCATTATTTCTGCTCTGATGAACTGACCAGAACATAGTCACAAGACCTTACCAAGACTCAGGATTTTCTATTATTTGAAAAGGGAAGAATCAATGTTAAGGATGACTTGTAGTCTTTGTTTGTAACAGAAAAAATTGAAAGGAATGAAATAATAAAAATAAAAGAATATTTTAGTGATATATAAAACAAGGAGACTATAGAGATTATCAACAAAACAAAAAGATGGATGCTAAAAATAGATAAACTTAGCAAGAGTGATAAAAAGAGAAAAATACACAAAATATTAGAAAATAGACACACATCTAAAAATCAGTGTCGTGTTTTTGAAATCCTAATAGAATTCTATTAGCAGTATTATGCAAGTACATTAACAAAATTTAAATAAAATTGAATATTTTCTTTTCTTTCTTTCTTTTTTTTTTTTTTTTTTTGAGACAGGGTCTCACTCTGTTGCCAGGCAACAGTGTCGCGATCAAGGCTCAATGCAGTCTTGAACTGCAGGACTCAAGTGATTGTCCCTCTTCAATTTCCTGAGTAGCTGGGACCACAGGCACATGCCACCACGTGGGGCTAGTTTTTAAAAACTTTTTGTAGAGACAGGGGTCTCCCTATGTTGCCTGGGCTGGTCTTGAAATCCTGGGCTCAAGCGATCTTTCCACCTCAGCCTCAGAAAGTGCTGGGGTTACAGGCGTGAGCCACCATGCCCACTGAATGTTTTCTAGTATATATTTAACAGATCTTAACCAAAGAAGAACATCAAAAAAACTAAATACACCAACAGCAATTAAAGACATTGAATTAACAATTAAATGATTTTTCTGAAAGACACTAGTCTAGTTTAGACACTTTTATAAACTCATTTGCCAATCATTTTTTTAAAATTTCAGAATACAAGAATTTCTTAGAATAGCGTCAATAATAAAATTTTCCAGCACAACTCAATCAACATATCACATGCAATTTTATTTGAGCAGAGATGCAAAATTCTAACTAAAATACAAACAACTTAAATTAAATAGTGCGTAAATTTCACCTAGTTGCCAAGGAAAGAATATGCCAGTATGCCAGGAATGTCAGGATGTTCAACATTAGAAAATGTGTAACATAATATAAGCAATAATAGCTATCTTGAGCAAATCTAACGAGCATCTTTATAAATGAAGATATGACAAAATTCTTACACATAGATCTTTATTAATGTTGTATATCTACTTAAATGTGACTGAAAACATTGTGCCTAATGGCTAATTTTTTTTTTTTTTTTTTTTGAGATGGAGTCTCTGTCATTCAGGCTGGAGTGCAGTGGCATGATCTCGGCTCACTGCAACCTCCGCCTCCTGGGTTCAAGCGACTCTCCTACCTAAGCCTCCCAAGTCGCTGGGATTACAGGCGCTTGCCACTATGCCCAGCTAATTTTTGTATTTTTAGTAGAGAAGGGGTTTCACCATGTTGCCCAGGCTGGTCTCGAGCTCCTGACCTCGTGATCCGCCTGCCTTGGCCTCCCAAAGTGCTGGAATTACAGGCATGAGCCACTGCGCCCAGCCCTTAATGGCTAAACTTTGTAATCTTTTCCATAAAGGATTTACACATCTTTTATTAGCTTTGTTACCTTGTCATGTTTATTGCTTATTCTGTATGGAATCTTATATTTCTTTGCACTCTCTAATTGTTTTATAGTGTGTATATATATATATATATATATATATATATATATATATATACATACATAAAAACTCTATTGATATTTTTATGTAGTTTTTCTTTAGTTTTCTTTTTTTTTTTTTTTTTTTTTTTAGAAATGGAGTCTTGCTATTAGATTGGTACAAAAGCAATGGCAAAACTGCAATTACTTTTGCACCAACCTAACATGTCACCCAGGTTGGAGAGCACTGGCTATTTACAGGCACAATCTTAGCACACTGTAGCCTAGAATCCCGGCCTTAAGTGATGCTCCCACCTAAGCCTCCTGAGTAGCGAGGACCACAGGTGCATGCCACCATGACAGGCGTACAGGTAAGCCTACTAGATTTTTATGGAGACAAACAAAGAGACATTAGCTCATTTTATAATTATTATACCTTTTATTTATTTTCCTTCTCTTATTGCATCAACTGGATTTTTAAGTGAGAACAAGGGTGCTCACTATCCTCACTTCTACTCAACAATGTACAATGTAGCAATTCACGTAAAGCACACTTTGAATGACCAATGATCTAATAAAAGAATACTCCATTACACTAATAATCAGGGTAATTCAAATTAAAACCATAAAGAGGTGCATTTAACTTCCACCAATTTGATGATAATTGAAAAATCTAACAATTCCAAGTGATGATAAAGATATAGAGAAATCACAAATTGCTGACAGAGATATAAATTTGCACAGTCACAATTCTCAAAGTGTGGTCCCTGGACCATCAGAACCTGAGCACTTGTTAGAAATGCACATTCTCTGGCTCCATCCTAGACCTACTAAATCAGAAACTCTGGGCACAGAGCTAGCAATCTGTGATCCAAAGAATACTTAAGTCTGATAACTCTGACTTAAAGGAACACACTGATAAGCTATTTGACATTATCTGGCAAAGATGAAGTTATAACAGTTTTACTTCTAAGTATAAACCCTGGAGAAACTCATATGCATCTATTAACAGAAACATGAAACAAAAAATTCATGGCAGTATTATTTGTAGTAATATAAAGTTAGAAATTTGCAGCCGGGCGCGGTGGCTCACACCTGTAATCCCAGCACTTTGGGAGGCCGAGGTGGGCAGATCACCTGAGGTCTGGAGTTGTTTGAGACCAGCCTGGCCAAGACAGTGAAACCCTATCTCTACTAAAAATACAAAAATTAGCCGGGCGTGGTGTCAGGTGCGTGTAATCCCAGCTATGAGGGAGGCTGAGGCAGGAGAATCGCTTGAACCTAGGAGGCAGATGTTGAAGTGAGCCAAGATCTCAACATTGCACTCCATCCTGGGCGACAAGAGCGAGACTTCATCTCAAAAAATTAATAAATAAAATCAGAAATTTGTTGTAAATGTCCTTCAATAGGAGAATTGAAGAATATTTCTAATAAAACATACCTCATTCTTCACCCCACAAAATCATTCTTATTTGTTATTTCAAAAACAGACTTTGAAACATTTTAATTTACTTAGGAACCCAAATAAAACTCATGAAAGAACTTTGGAATCACTCAAATTAATAATCTGAGACAAATTTACTGAGAGAAATATGTCCATGGAGAGCCAGCAATAATTTTGTAAGTGATATCCTAAGGAAAGTCAATTATCATTAAACATTCTCAGCATGAATATAACTAGAAAGTTTTACTTAAAAGGACAAGGACATCCTAACCTATTTTACTGTTTGAAACTTAGTTTTAAAAAATTAAGAGTTTTATGTTTGTAGTATCCAATAGAAGGACAGTATCTATCTGGCTTAATTCATAGAGATATTAACCATCCTTAGAAAACTGTTTGGGGCAAATGATGACTCACTTTGTGTAGTTGTTGGACAGGTCTGAACAGATTTCAGACCATCCATTATTAACACTCACTAATAGAGGCCAAACTATTCCCACCTTCACATCATCTGATCTTAAGCAATGTGTGTCCTGCCATCAGTCACAGTCGGAGGTAGACAGGGCAAGATGAACATCATCTGTTCTCCCTGCCATTTTCATCCATCACTGCCTTGGGGAATCCCATGGAGCCTAAGGAGGAGCTGTAAGTGGTGTAGAAAATGAACCCAGAATGAGAACTTAGGAAATAGGTGTGTTGCCCCAACTATGTTATAAAAATAATAGAATTTTAGAATGTTAGCGTTAAAGGGACCTCATAGATCATCTTGTCCCATGCCATCATTTTAAAGATGAGATTCAGAGTGAGAAAGTGACTTGCCCAACACCATTCTCACACCATCAATTATTTATTGAGAAATAGATGGAATAGAGTGAGAGGTGTACTCAAATACCAATCCGAGGCCCAGAATCTTAGACACTCCACAGCGCAGTGTGACTGTGTCTGGGGCCAGTTAACAATCTCTCCCAGTCCACTCAGTTTTCTCAGTCCACTCAGATACTGTGTGTCCCTCCCTGCCCTTGTGATTATAGTGGGAGCAGAACAAACGTGTAGGAATTTCTCCACTTTTCTCTGCTTTGCTTTTGGTCATACCTTCTGTCACTTTGTCTTTTTTCCTCTGTTTTATTAATTTCATGTCTTAGAGAACTCTTGTCATTGTCTCCTTTTTAGAAGATCATAGGAAGCTAATTATAAATGTCACCCTGTCCTATAAAATGTTAGACAAACCTAAGAGGTAACTGGGAGTTTGTTTACCCACTGTTTCATGAACTGTTGGTACAACAGTTGGTACAACTGTTGCTCCACTAAGCCAATGTACCAAAATTGTGTGTGCATGTGTGCGTGCATGTGTGCGTGCATGTGTGCGTGCATGTGTGTGTATGTGTATTGAAGGTGGACAAATTAGAGGCAGGCAAGGCAAGGGAAAATACATGAAGCACCCAGGCAAAGGCAGTTTGAAAAACAACCTAACAAGTAGACAACAGAGAGGCTAGAGATGGAAGACAAACTTCCAATTTTGTAATTGGAACAAAAGTCAATTCTGACTAAACTGTTCTTATAGAGATAAAAAAAACATAGTACATAGATATGGATGTTCCAGGCTACCTCTTTTATCCAACCCCAACTCCATTTAACATCTTCATGTATGATCCAGGAACAATTCGCAGGCATCCTTCCTATGTCTTGATAGAATATTGTGGTTCTTGGAAATATAGCTGATGCAAGCCGTTACATATGCTATGTACACAAATCACTTATCATTAATAGACGTGAGCTTCCAGTGAGCCTCTTCCATCTGATTCAATTACTACATGGCCTCGCCACAGGTCTGCACTTCTCAAACTGGGATACCACCTTTGGTGCTGAGCTGGAACATCAAAGTCACAGAATAAGTATTCATGGAGTGTTAATTTCATTTGAAAATTTAGGAAAGGGATATATTAAGTTATTTAACAATTTAAATTATTTGCTTATAAAATGGACACATTCTAGTGTAGAATGCAAAACCTATCTACTTTTGGGAAATGCAACTCCTGATCACAACATTGCTGACTGACACAAATGTGGTGGTCGAGGGGCAGGAGTTCCTTTCAAAGCCCCCATGTTGGCCTGAGTCATGATAGCAACTGTCCGCTCAGCACCAGCGAGGAGCAGACTCCATCCAAAAGTGAGATGGCATCCCTAGCATGATTGTTGTTGTCATAATTATTTCTTACTAAAATTAGTCACATCTACTGAAATTTGCGGAGCCATGAGAAAAGTACACAGAATTCTCTTTAATCACGGTGCTCATAATTTCCCTTTCCATTTTACATTGAAATGTTTTACAAGAGTTCTGGGCTTATTTTGCTTACATAGTACACATGCCAACACGTACACACACACACACACACACACACACAACTGCAGAGAGAAACATTTCGATTATTAAATATGTAAACCTCACATAAGAAAACACTTCATGCATTTTTCTCATTTTCGTATTTTAAAACTTTTAGGCCCTAGCTTATTTTACCTTGCTTTTTTACAATCATAATGACTTTTAAGATGAAAATTTCTGAATTCATGTTAAAGCTCACAACTTCTGGGAAGAGTGCATATCTAGACATAGCCCAGTAAGTTTTTGATCAGTCCCATACAGTATTTATTTATTTATTTATTTATTTATTTATTTATTTATTATTTATTTTGGAAAGGGAGTCTTGCTCTGTTGCTCAGGCTGGAGTGCAACGGTGTGATCTTGGCTCAATGCAACCTCCTCCTCCTGGATTTAAGCGATTCTCCTGCCTCAGCCTTCTGAGTAGCTGGAATTACAGGTGCCTGCCACCATGCCTGGGCAATTTTTTTTGTATTTTTGGTGGAGATGGGGTTTCACCATGTTGGCCTGGCTGGTCTCGAACTCCTGACCTCAGGCGATCCACCTGCCTTGGCCTCTCAAAGTGCTGGGATTACAGGTGTGAGCCACTGCACCAGGCCCCATACAATATTTTAAAAACAATTTTTAGCCTGGGCGCAGTGACTCGCACCTGTAATCCCAGCATTTTGGGAGGCCGAGTCGGGTGGATCAGTTGAAGTCAGGAGTTTGATACCAGCCTGGGCAACATAGTGAAACCTCATCTCTACAAAAAAATAACAAAAATTAGACAGGGATGGTGGCATGCACCTGTAATCCCAGCTACTCTGGAGGCTGAGGCAGGAGAATGGCTTGAACCTGGGAGATGGATGTTGCAGTGAACCGAAATGGCATCACTGCACTCTAGCCTGGGCAACAGGGTGAGAACTTATCTCAAAAAAAAAAAAAATTTAAAATATATAATTCTGTATCCATTCATCTTGATAAATTCTAAAATCTTTTTATTCTTCCGTTCTCACTTCCTGAAAACTTTCCCACATCTCTATTCACATTGCACTTTTAATTCATTTTATGAGGTTTGAGTATTAATATATCCAAGTAGACACATATCACTGTCCCTCTCAAAAAGAAGGGCAAGTGTAATATGCTAATAGAGTGAGTATCCATCGTCCAAGTAACTGCAGTACTGTCTACTCAAAAATTTCACCCATACCTTGTCCGTTCCTTCCAAATAGTAGTTAAGGCTTTTTACTCAGTAAATGATCACAATCCACATAATATGAATTTAAGAACATACACTATTGGAAAACACTGTGCTTCAAATCTGGACAAATATAACATTAATTAATTAATCCATTCAATAGACATTTGAACAGATACCATTGTATACAGGACACAGTGTTTAGTGATAAAAGATAGTTCCTGCTCATAGAGTTTTCCATCCTTTGCAGGAGATAGATGAATGATGTCCATGAATTTCATAGCATCACAACAGAGGAAAGTATAAGGTTCCTGTAGGAAAAGGCACATGATACTGGGCTATAGATCAGTCCACCAGGAAGCAGACTCTGAGATGGATATTTGCCTGCAGAATATTTATATGGAATTGCCTCAGGATAAACACCAAAGGGATGTAGAGGGTCAAGGATTCCAAAGAGTGAGAGGTTGAATTTTGAAGCAGTCAGAACTCAGGACTCACCTGATGTTCCATTCCAGGGAGCTCTGCAGCCAGAGGCACCCTCCATAGTTGCCCACCTTGGGGGCAAGGGTGCAGGGCCTTAATTTCCTCACCTCACTACATCCCAGGCATTGAATGAGAGTTGTCCTCTGGAGGGAGTGTGACCCTGAGGAAAGGAGATATGGCTTTCTTGGGCTGAAGTCAAATCCCATGGAGGAACTCAACTGAGAGATGTCAGTCACCAATTGCAGCTCTGAAGCAATGGGCGCCTCAGTCCTGAAAGGGGACCTGGGCTGTCCACCATGGGATCCACTACCCCCTGTATCTGTCAGCTGCTCTCCATACAGGTACTTACCCTACCCCATCTCACCCAAACTAGTGGTAAGGATTACAGAAGCCACCATGGGTCTATTATGCAAACACATGCAGCCTGAGAGAGAACAGCCATTTCCATAGCTATTTCCACCTATGGTCTTCAAGGGTTGATGTGTGCATTAAATTCAGAAGCAAGGAAACACAGGAAAAAGCCTTTTCACAGACCACCAAATAAGCTTATTTTCCAAAATTACCATTTCCTTTTACTTCCTTTCTGCCTCTGCTCCCCGACTCAAATTATTTCCATTTCATAGTACCATCATTTATACTTAATGATTGAGATATTTGGGTGAGAAAAGTCTTTCCTCTCTTTATGTATGTATTAACCTGTGTAATATAATGGTCATAAAATTGATCCTGATAGAATTTATAATACAGTTTTTTTAGAGATAAAAATTTCCCAGCCAAACAGTCTTATTGTCTTGGTTTTTAGAAAAAGCTTTTTCATCAGTTTTCTTCCAGGAAAAAGAAAGGAATAAAATGTACATTAAAATGCCTAAAAAATATTTCCTTTGTGTAGAATCTTAGGGTTTCTAAGTTAAAAGAAACTGAGAATATGTTCTTTTTTTTAAATTTATAAAGTTCAAAAACTTAAAATTTAAAGAAGCATGAAAGTTTACTTGGGTATGTATTCAGTTGTAACTCAACTACCTGCTGCTAAATGCTGGTATAAATGCTTTCTTCATATAACTCTTTTCACTTTTACTTAACCTCACCCTCAACTCCAAGATGAATCCTTTACCTTTTCCTTACCTACCTTAGAGGACTGGGGCAGCAAGAGGAGGGATAAAATTGGAGATCTGTGACAAAGCTAATGCAAATGATAAAATAATAAGAAAAATAAAATAAAATAAGATAAAATAATAAGAAAAATAAAAGAAGAGCAGAGATAAAAAATGATAATGTACCATTAACTAAGAAGCAGAGACAATTAACTTACGTGCAGCTAAAATCCAGAAGGAGAAAGGAAGGGGAAGTGGGGAAAAAGAAAAAAAAGAATGAGCCCTATGATAATAACACAAAGAAAGGAAAGTCACTGCATTTGTTTGAATTTGGTGTTACGGTGTCAAGCAGGTACAGAAACTGATCACTTAGAAAGGCAACAGAAAAGACTAAATTTGGGAGGAAAAACACATGAAAATTCAAAAAGGTGTTGAAAGTAATTTATTGCATGGGGTCTTGACTTACTTTTATGCAGGTTTCTTAATTTTCACTCAGAATTGTCATTTTTTTTTAATTTTTAAATAATCTTTATGAACTGAAAACCATTGTGTTTTATTTCTAATTTCTAGAGAGAAATAATTAATGTTACTACCAGAATTCTCTTATTTATTGTTCTTTGAGGCCCAAGCAGAGGCAAAACCCCTTAAGGGCCTGCAACAGCTAGTAATTACTGTGAAAGAAAAAAAGCAAGAACAAAAATTTAAAAACTTAGGGTCTGTGATGTTGAGTTTCTAGTATGTCAACTGAGCTAAGGTTGAACTATGTCTCCTCCTGCTCAAGAGGTGGAGAGGAGGTGAAGCCTGGTTCTTTCTGTGTTCTGAAGCTTGTGCAGAGCCTGTGGTGCCATAACAGCACTCCCATTTCGTTGCTTATCTCCTGGCCCACCCTTGGTGGTACAGCAGTAGGACTGCAGCTCCTGCAGCTCACACTCTATCTCCTCCTCCAGCTCACACTCTATCTCCTCCCCCAGCTTTCCTGATTCTGCGCCAGATAAGTGATCCACACACCCAGGCCATCCAAGTTGGAGGCTTAGAGAAGTAAGCAACCGAGGCAAGTTCCAGTTGGTCCTCATGGCTCACCTTCACAGGATCCAGTTTATCTTTGCTTTCTGCATTTTCATTTCGTCTTCCCTCCCCAAGTGTGTGCTCTGTGGATGTTAGTCTCCAGCACCAGTTGCAGAAACTAAAGCATCACACAGAATGTATAACCAACTTTCACAACTGATTAAGGTCAGATTGCTAAAATCTTCCTTTCTTCCTTCCTTCCTTCCTTCCTTCCTTCCTTCCTTCCTTCCTTCCTTCCTTCCTTTTTACCTTCCTTCCTTCCATTTTCCTTTCTTCCTCCCATTCTATCTTCTATTTACTAAAATTTCTGCTGGTCTAACTGAGTCCTAACCGATAAAGAATTTGGAAGTGGAAGTGGTTATAGAGGAAAGCTGATAACAAGAAGCTCTGAGAAAAATATATGTGGATAAACTAGGTAGGTAGAAGGTGTGCATATACTTGCTTTCAAAGTGATAGCTCACCAAAGAGCAAGGAGGATCTTTATAATCAAGTAGGTAAGATGACTTATCCTGGCTGGGTGCAGTGGCTCATGCTTGTAATCCCAGCACTTTGGGAGGCCGAGGCGGGCGGATCAACTGAGGTTGGGAGTTCCCGACCAGCCTGACCAACAGGGAGAAACCCTGTCTCTACTAAAAATACAAAATTAGCCGGGCCTGGTGGTGCATGCCTGTAATCCCAGCTACTCAGGAGGCTGAGGCAGGAGAATCGCTTGAACCCAGGAGGCGGAGGTTGTGGTGAGCTGAGATCGCGCCATCGCACTCCAGCCTGGGCAACAAGAGCAAAACTCTGTCTCAAAAAAAAAAAAAAAAAAAAGACTCATCCTATGAATATCAGTCAGTCTATTTGCCTAGTTACCTCATTCATTCCTTGGGCTCATGACAAAAATGGCAGCGGCAGTAGGGATAGAGGTTATGCATGGGCTCAGCAGCATGGAATTTCACTCACCAAGGCCAATCTGGCTGCATTCTTTAAGTGTCCAATCTGCCAATAGCAAATACTGACACAAAATAACTGTTACGGTGGCCTTCTCTGGGTGGATTAACCAGCCACCTGGTGATGAATTGATTATGGAGGACTACTTCCATCATGGAAGCGGCAGCATTTTGTTCTCATTGACATAGACCCTCTGGATATGAATTTTCCCTGTCTGTACATACTGCTTCTTCTAAAACCAACATCTCTGGACTTATGGAATGCTTTATTTGCTGTGATGTCATTTTATACAGCATTGCTTCTGATCAATGAACTCTTAAAAGCCAATGAAGTCTGACAATGTACCATGCTCACATAATTCGCTGGTCTTACCATGTGGCTCATCACTCTGAAGCAGCTGGCCTTGTAGAATGTTGGAATTGGGGTGATTTGTTTCTTTTTTTCTTTTTTTTTCTTTGACAGAGTCTTGCTCTGTCACCCAGGCTGTAGTGCAGTGGTGCGATCTTGGTTCACTGCAACCACCACCTCCTAGGTTCAAGCCATTCTCCTGCCTCAGCCTCCCGAATAGCTGGGACTATAGATGCATGCCGCCAGGCCCGGCTAATTTTTTGTATTTTTAGTAGAGACGGGGTTTCACCGTGTTAGCCAGGATGGTCTTGATCCCTGACCTCGTGATCTGCCAGCCTCGGCCTCCCAGAATGCTGGGATTACGGGTGTGAGCCACCACACCTGGCCGGGATGGTTTTGGTCTCAATAACAGTGCAAGCTGGGATAGCAATATTTAGAAAGCCAGGAAATGCTATGTAGAGTATGTTACATGTTCTAAATCCGTGACCAATGTATAGTGCTATTTCTACCATAGACGAGATGGTTATGGCAATTGGTTCGTCTCACTATAATTCCCCTAGTGATAGATTAGCAAACTTTTTGTTTTTTTTTTCCCTGCAGCCTTTGGCTCTGCTGGTCTAGAAAATAGTTCTCAAGTGAAGAATTCTTTGTACCAAGACAAAACAGTGGTTCATTTAAATAATGAAACTGGAAGTTGAAACTGTCCTCTAGACACTAGGCTCTTTGTACTAGTAATTAATAAGCAAAGAGGAGGGTTACCTGTACTGGATGAGATAATTGATTCTGATTATCAAGGTGAAATTGGATGGCTACTTCACCTTGAGGGTAAGCAGAACTGTAAAATACAAATGGTTTCCCTGAGGGGTGACTTTTACAATTCCCCTGCCCTATGATTAAAGCTAATGGAAAACTAAACAACACAATACAGTCACCAAGATTGCTAATGGTGCAGACTCTTCAGAACGGTTTGGGTCACTTCCCCGCATGAGGTACCACAGCCAAATAAGATGTTTGTTTTAGGGAACGTGAATAAAAAATGAGTAGTGGAAGAACATGGAAAAACATACAAGATATGACTATGGGATCAATTTCGTATGACTATGGAATCAATTTCTTTTTATTATTTCTTTATTTTTAACTTTTATTGATGAATTGGAACAGAGTCTCACTCTGTCATCTAGGCTGGAGTGCAGTGGCATGATCTCAGCTTACTGCAACCTTCGTTTCCTGAGTTCAAGCAATTCTCCTGCCTCAGCCTCCCGAGCAGTTGGGATTACAGGTGCCTACCACCATGCCCAGCTAATTTTGTATTTATTTTTTATTTTTTGTATTTTTAGTAGAGATGGGGTTTCACCACGTTGGCCAGGCTGGTCTCGAACTCCTGACCTCAGGTGATCTGCCCACTTTGGCCTCCCAAAATGCTGGGATTACAGGCATGAGTTACCATGCCTGGCTTTATTTGGAAGCAATGACCAATTTCAGAAACATGAGCAGTTTCTGTGAAATTGGGTCAGGCTTGATTTTCCTTGGATGGGCTTGTTCATGCATCTGTGGTCAGCTGGAACATAAGACTCTGCTCCATGTGGTCATTCATCCTCTAGATGGCTAGTTCACCTTGTTCTCTTGGCAGTACCAAGATTCCAGGTTGAGTAAGAGAGGGACTGGAAAAATGTAGGGCTACATTATGACTTCAGTCAGCACAAATTCAGAGCAGGTAGGGGATTACCTAGTTTCAAGACAAATTATGTGGATACCGGGATTCCCTTCATTGTATCTGTTAATGCAACTAGTCTACCACCAAACCCTCATGCTTTATAGAGTACCCTAGGATACTGACAAAAGGGTAGCCCTAGCAGAAATTCTGAATGTTTTTAAGTCTTAATTCTTAAACCCCAAACTTCATCTACTTAGAACCTGCATCATTTTTCTTCCACTTTATTATTAGGGAGTCAATTTTTTTCAGTGTCACCTGTGCCTTTCAAATTTTCATGCACATTGTACACTTTATGATACCTGATACTTGGCTGCGTTTTCCTGATGGTTCCTGATGATGACAAGAGGAAGTTTAGAAAGTTTGGGGATACCCCATAACCTACATTAGTCTCCCCAAAGGCATTCCCCCTCCCCAATAAACATATTATCTAAATAAATTTTGTAAGGATTCTAAGCAAATTTAGCTTCAAAGACAAATCCTATTTTTTCCCCATTTATCCAATTTGAATTGTGTGAACTTGCCAACTTTCAATCTTTTCTCACTTAGAAAAATGGCAATTTCATATAGTTCAACCTATAGATTATGAAAAAGTTTTGTTTTTTCCCTTTCAGCACAGTGTCCTGAAGATGTCTTCTGGCATTTACCACTACCTAAGACCTCCTATCTTTACATATTTCTTTCAGAGGCAGGTCCCCTCCTGCCTGGCTTAGTGGGCCACCTCTGACATTAGAAGGTTGAAACATTTCTATTAAATGAAGGATCAAATGTAGGCAAGAGAAAGCTAGTAAGCAAAGAAAGCACTAAAGTCTCATTCTTTCTCCTGTGAAAATGTCAGTGCCTCCTGGAGGTCTACTTTAATTTTATTTTTTTTTTTTATTGGTGTTTGAACTATACGGAGATAATAATAGTGTGATATTAAAGGCAATTTAACATGAAAATCTGCCCATTGAGTAGTTTCTCTGTGTTGGTTAGCACCTTATGAACATCTTCCTTAATTTTTAAAATAGCACTTATTATGATTTGCCTAGCATTTTGGAAGTGGAATAGGTGAGTGGGGATATGTGTGGAGGTATTATAAATTCCAGGAATGAGGTGGACATAGTAGGAATGGGAAGTTTTACTTTTCCTTTTTGCCTCTCTCTCTCTTAGTTGAAAGAGGCTTAGATCTGAGATGTTATACTTCTATTGATGTGTAAAAACCAGTATATATTTTTAGTTCATCAGTATAAAAATAGTCATTGAATCATAATGTATTCGAGCTGTGGAAGAATCTTAATGGTCTACCAGGTTGACTACCCAGGTTTACTGGAGTCTCCTTTCAACATCTTTCTGAGGTGTGTACTCATTTAGCTGCTCTTTGATTCTTCTCATGGGTGTTTCCACAACTCGAAGCAGCCCATTCTATTTGGGGCATATCTGATAATTAGTAGAATTCCTAAATGAGCCAAAATCTGCTTCTCTGAAACTTTCATCCATTGATCTCATTTTTTTTTTTTAATTAGAAGACTACTCAGAAAAATATTCAATTTCAGTTGCCTAATACAGAGTTAGGAATTGTGGCTTTGTGTAAGTGCCATCAATTGAAAAGCACTGTAGGAAAATATGTGCTATTGTTATTTCATATTTTAAAGTCAAGTATTTGAAACCAGCTATTAGGTCAAGGGACTGAATAACTTATTCAAAAATGACCTAAGCTTCTCCCTATAATTAAATGCTTAGAAAATTTTATCCAGATCTTTGTTATTCCTACTCAGTTGAAAGTAGATTTCTAGATTTCTTTTTGTAGAAGTGTAAATTGTGTTTTACTTTTTCAAAGACAAATCAAGGTGTGAATATGACTTTTACAATTAGGTCAATAAGTTTAGTTAAACATTAATCTAGCCTTTGTGTATTTTATGTGATTTATCTTACAAAAATATTATTTACATACAACTATTTATGACTTTTCATTAATAGAACTAGGTATACCTGTAACTATATAATTATTTAGACACTTCATTCTTTGTTATGACTGGCTTATTTACTTAGCAACCCATAGTTCTGTATGTAGATAATATGCTAATCAATAAAAGATTTGGATAAGGTAAGAATACATTGATAATATATTTATATATTATATTCCTTCTGGGATTCATTTGAATATCAGTAGCTCTCATTCTGGGAGATCATTTCTTAATGTTTTACCTGATTTTCCCTTATTTGTCCTCATAATTACATTCTAATGGTATTAGCCCCAAATTGCAGACCCAGAAATGGAGTGGCTTAGGAACAAAGAGAATAATTCATCAGCAGAAGCTCACAAAACCAGTGACTAGCTGCTGAGATCTGTTTGAGCCCATACCACTCTGCCTTCGGTCTTACTAGAAGTCAAGGTTCTGAAATCAGGGTTTCAGAAGGGCCACACTCTCTCTGGATGTGGAAATCTGTTCTTTGCCTCTTAAAGCCTCTGGTAGCTGCCAGCATTCTTTGGCTTATTGCCTTATCACTCCTATCTCTGCCTCAGTGGTCACGTTGCCTTTTATTTTGTCTGTATCAAATCTTCCTCTGCTTCCCTCTTATAAAGACATTTATGATTCCATTTATGGCCTACCTGGATACTCTGCCCATCTCAAATTATCTGTATGACCTTGATCTTTCTGAGGTCATTCTGACAAAGTTCTTGTATTGCTGGTGTGCTCTCAGTTTTCTTGAAGCCCTTGAAGACAAAATGTTGCCTTAACTTAGTTGATCAACAAGCGAAAGTCAGTGTTCCCACTTGTGGTCTTTGGAAATAAGCCTCACTTCTTTGTGATGGGCCAGAAGGCTGTCTAGAGCCCTGACCTTGGCATCACTGTAGCATGGACTGGTCTGTTTGTGGAATGCTTGGAAGTCCCAGATGCCGTTGGTTGCTTCAGGATGCTCAGTGTCCTCATGTCCCACCCACTCCCACCCCACAGCCTGCTCTTTGTCTCAAATATATTTCTCTCTTCACCCTCCTCTTGAGGAAAATACTTTGTGTCAATAAATGCTTCTGGTGAATTGCTATGGTTCATATTAGTTCTTACTCAATCTGCTGCACTAATTCCCCTGATCTTACACATTTCCAGAATGATCTTTAAATGTCATTGTAGTGTTCTTTAAAATAATCCAATCAGGGCACTTTCTGCCAAGGGAAAGGCTTTTCCCCTTTTTTACCCCCTAGAATTGGCTGTCTACAACTTACTAGACAAAATACAGATTCTTTATTTAGCACCACAAAGTTTTCAGTATTCTGACTTTAGCTCACCTTCTCAGGATTATCTTCTCTACAAAATCCTCAAATGTATCCTACACACCATCCACACTAAACTTGTCAAATCTCCTTTATTAGGTATTATACTAGTTTCCAAGGGCTGCTGTAACAATGGCTACTTAAAACAACAGAAATCCAGTATCAGAACTGCTGGGCTGAAATCAGGGTTTCAGAAGGGCCACAGTCTCTCTGGATGTGGGAATCTGTTCTTTGCCTCTTAAAGCCTCTGGTAGCTGCCTGCATTCTTTGGCTCATTGCCTTATCACTCCTATCTCTGCCTCAGTGGTCACGTTGCCTTTTATTTTGTCTGTATCAAATCTTCCTCTGTTTCCCTCTTATAAAGATATTTATGATTCTATTTATGGCCTACCTGGATACTCTGCCCAACTCAAATTCCCTAACTTAATCACATCTGCAAAGTCTTTGCCCTAGAAGAAAACACAGGTTCTGGAAATTAGGATGTGAACACATATCTGGGGGCCATATTTAGCCTACCCACACTTATGTATTACTGAGTAGCCTGTTATCCCTAAAATTTGCAGTTTAAAACAACTATCTATATTATCCTGTGGGCCATGAATCTGAGTGTGTCTTGGTTGGGTCCTCTAGCTTGGAGTCTCTCCCAAGGCCTCAGTCCCCATAAGACTTGAGTAGGAAAGACTTGCTTCCTGGTTTGCTCCTGTGCTTTTTTCAGCATTCAGTTCTGCTTGGTTGTTGGACTGAGGCCCCAGGTCCTCACAGGCTGTTGGCTGGAAGCCTCTCTCAGCTCACTGCCACACAGATCACTTCACTGAACATCTCACATGATGGTGGCTTGCTTCATCAGCAAGTGAAGGGGCAAGAGAGAGTGCCAGCAGGACAGAAGTCACATCTATCACTTTTGCCTTCTCTATGTGTGAGAAGAAAGTCACTAGCTCCACCCCATACTCAAGGAGAGGGGATTACACAGAGACATCAATATTAAAAAGCAAGCTCTTTGGCTCCATATCAGGACCTACCTACAATAGCTCCCCCAACATGTCATGCCCTTTTATGACTGCATGCCCATGCGTAAGTTTTCTACTCATGTTGTTTCAAAGCTACCAGCTTGGAAAACTCTTCTGTAGGCTTAAGCCATGATTTCAGTTGCCATCTCTACAATGAACTCTTTGTCCCAACCATGTTTGAAATTCCAGAGCATTTTTTATACCTTTGTGTCACCTGTAGGTGTTCACACATTTGAGTCTCCCGTTAAGCTATGGTTATTTGGGGTCAGGAGTTCTGTCATCTTCCTTCTGTTTTCTCAGTGCCTCTTGGACACAGCACTCTGCATACAGGAACCACTCAATAAGTGTTGTTCTTAATATTAGTTCTTTTTATAATTGCATAATTTGGTGCTTATTTGATTGAAATGTGATCATTGTACTTCATGTATTCAGTTTGCCTTGAAGAATTTGACTTCATCTATTGCGCTCTATTTATCTATTGTGCTCCAGCTGTCTGCGTTGTTTCAACTTCACTGTATGAATAAATCCCCTGGGGATTCACTTAAAATGTAAATTCTTATCCTCTAGGGCTGGGATGGAGCTCAAGATTAAAAATTTCTAGCATGTTCCAAGCTGGTGCCCATACTGTTTGTCCAGGGACCACACTGCGAATAGGAAAACATAGAAAAGAATGTAAGGGAAGGTATAGGAAGGGATATTTGAGTTAAAAATGAGAGGATTTTCTAATAGTAAGATCTATATGAAAGGAGGATGGGGGTATAAGGGGGTGTGAGTTAATTAATTAACGAGCTCATTTTTTTTCTGGGCTAACTCAGATATGGGCTGGGAGTCCAATTGTTAGGCATAATATAGAAGAGACTAAGGGGACATTTAGAATAAATGGGCGTTTTCTCAATATGATGTATAGGGTGCTATGGTTTTATTGGAGTCCTTAGAACATCCATGAGCATCAAGGAAAACCTAAAATTTTAACTTCAATTTTGTATATTTTATCCCTCAAGACACCTTCAATTTTATATATTTTACCTATTGAAGTTCTGTGTAAGATTTAATTTTTTAAACAAATCCAGTTGCTTAAAATACACACTCACACACAACACACACTCTCAAAAGTACAAACATGGCAGTAGAGGAGTTTCTCTGATTCTATGCACCCTGATCAGAGAACCATGGTCAAATGTTAAAGAAAAGATTCCTCAATGAACAGCTTTTCAATTTAACCTACGGAAGTTATTTTCAGTCTTCAAATTCTTGATTAAGTGCAGGGAAAACTCATGTTCCATTGCATCCATTTGCAAAATGGCTCAATACCCTTCTGAGTAAGCAAACTGACTCACAGCGTCCCTGGACCATAGGACTATATCTTTATGTGTTTAGTTCACAGGAGAAGCCTTCGGGGCTCCTTCATCCCAACACCTATTGGTTCTTATATTATAGACAACTTTAACACCCAACCTGACACATGTCAAAGGGGCCACACTCTCTCTGGATGTGGGAATCTGTTCTTTGCCTCTTCAAGCCTCTGGTAAAGGAAAGGGACTGTAAGGTTTGAGTCCACAGATGTGGTTAAGGCTTAGCTCTACCAGAAATAACTCCAGTGGTTTTGAGCATGTCCCTTGCCCTCTCTGGGCCTCAGTTTCCTCATGAGAGAATTGTTCTAGATCAAAGGTTGGCAAATGTTTTTGTTAAAGGGCTAGGTAGTAAATATTTTAGTCTTTGTGGACCATCAAGCCTGCCATAGACACTACGTAACCAAAACCCATGTGGCTGCGTTCCAATCAAACTTTCTTTACAAAAACAGGTGGTTGGCTAGATTTAGTCTGTGGGTTATACTTTCTAAACTCTGTTCTACGTGATCACTGGGCATCTGCCCAGCTCAGAAACTGTGATTTAAAATTAGATAGACTGTGGTATTTTTCACTAAGTTATTAATAGGTTATACTGGCTTGAACTACATTTGCTTTTGAATAGGAAACAGAATCTTAACTCAGGGGCCATGATTCTACAGATTTTCAGACATCAGGGTCAGGCAGTAGCAGAGATATTTTTTGATCCAAGGGTCTTTGGAGGGCCCTGACATTATGCCACATAGGAAGTTACTTGCCCTGTCTATATGTAAGGCCAATCTGGTTACGCAGAGGGAGTCATTAGCATTTGGAGGTCCCTGATGAAGCCTTTCTGGGACTGCTCACTTGCCAGGACAGCTGAGAAACCACAATAGGAACAATGAATCCTGTCATTGGGAACTGTAAATAATGAACTGACTGCAGTAGTTCTGCTCCATAGGGCCCCATACTGACTGCTATTCAATTGTAAATATCCCCCGTCTGCTGTTGTACTGGCGGACAGAGAGTCTTTGCTATATATTATGCTAAACGTTCCCTGGAATCCAACTGCAGGAAGAGAAGACAATGCAGGCGGTGAAACCATCCCATTAACTTACTGTACATCTGTTTCTGTCTCCTCACAATTCAAGGTGTTAAGACAGCCCACAACTTCCCTTTGAGATACATGAATATTTTTATAGGTATGGAACTCATATATGTGTGTACAAATGTATTGCTATTTGATTCCTTCAATGGCACCTTCCTAGAGATGAAAGAGATTGACTTATGTCATCTATTTTTCCATACAGTGTTTTTCCTCTTTCACTTGGTCTTGTTTTGCTTTAACTGATAAAGAGCCTTTCCCATGAGAAGCTATTAAATAGCTGGGGAGATATTTCAGGGAGCCTTAAATTAATACCCATTTTGCATCTGGTGCCTGGTGCTGTCACCAAGACCCTGGTTTGGGTTCTTGACCAAGTATTGCATTAATTATTTTCCTAGATGTGACTTATTTGCCATTTTGATAACTTGATTCCTGACTCACTTCTGCATTTTTGAACTTTGAGATTCTGAACTCTGAAGTGTGGCACTCTGGACCCTGTCTGTTTCTGCCCTCATCCTTGAACTTGAACTTAATTTTCAGGCACTTAGGATGTTTATTAAACTTTGAGAACTTTTCTTGCTGGCCATCGGATAGAGCAGGAAAGTTGTTCAAAAAAGTAAATTTACAGAGCTTCAAAGCTTAAAGGGCTCCTTGAAGTCATTAGTGATAATCCTTTTTAATTTGTAATGAAGGCTCTGGGTCCCAGAGACATTGCTCAATTGGCCAGAGCCATCCAGATGCCAACCAGATGTTAGTTTCCCTCCTGCTCCCAACCATCTTCCTCCCTGGGTAGTCCCCTCTGCTTCGAGTACATTTGGAGGAACAGCTTGTTTCCTTACATCCTGTCCTGACTTGGTTCCAACTTTAGGTTCTGAAATGGGAGGCTTTCCAAAATGCCGGGGTCCTTGGGGACTTTGTTAACATCATGCCCCCAACTCTTTAAAGTGCTATCAATTCAAGGAATTGTCTGTGGCACTCTTTTAAATGTCCAGGTAAGATATCAGTGACAACACTCATGCTGTTGAAAAGCTTTTAGTCCTTCTGTCTGTGAATAATTTTTTATTGTCTTTTTTGTTAGTAAGCCTCAGTCTGAAGACATATTGCTCAGGCATCTCTTATTTTAATTACCAAAAGTCCGTTTGAATCACCCCCTTCTAGGGCTTCTTCCAAATGCTCTTAATTCGCATTCACTCATGCAGAGAAATTGAGCTCTCATTTTGTTTTACCGTACACTGAAGAGCGTGAATTTTTGTTCCAATAGTAGCCTATCAAACCATTTTGATAAAGCAGGCAATTCAGTATGGAGAGAATCAGACAATTCCCTTACTATGTGAGGGAACTTGTGAGTCTAAGTAGTAGCATTATTTTCTCTCTCATTCTCTCATACCCAGAAAGCAGCCAGAGAATGTAGACTCAAATTTCAAACGTCCTTCATTTTTAACTCAATGTTTTGACTTGCTTGCTTTCACACTTTCTTCCCTCCCTCCCTCCCTTCCTCCCTCCCTCCCTTCCTCCCTTCCACCTTTCTTTCTTTCTTCCTCCCTTCCTCCTTTCCCCCTTTCCTCCTCTCTTTTTCTCTCTCTCTCTTCTCTCTCTTTCTCTCTTTCTTTCTTTCTTTTTTGAGATAGGGGTCTTGCTTTGTTGCCCAGGCTGGTCTAAAACTCCTGGCCACAATCAATCCTCCTGCCTCAGCCACCCGAAGTGCCGGGTGGCATGAGCCACCACACCCAGCCTTAAATATTTTTAATAAATATAGACATTGGCTTTGGGGGACAAAAGGAAAAGAATCTTTATTTCAGTTCTCTATAGTGCAAGTGTAGATTGTGTTAAATAATATATACTCAAGCATTCTTATGTTTTCCTCTCCTTAAATGCTTCTCCAACTTATTCTGACCAAAAATCGAGTTAGACAGAGGGCTCATGAATCAGCTTAACCCATTTTCACTAGCAGTTGCAGCAAAATGACTTCTCCTGAGGAGCTGTAATGCAGAGGGTATATTTAGTTGGGAATTTCTAAGCTTGGATTCCAACCCCAGTTCTGCAAGGAACTTAACTGCATGACTTTGGTTAAATCATTTTACCTGTTTGGAATTCAATTTCCTGAAGGAATACTTTGGCTGCAAGAAACAACAACAACAAAAAAACGGAGCAACAGCAGTTTTATCAAATAAAGGTTATTCTCTCCTGTAACAAGGTATCTGATCATCAGCATCCTCAACTGTTGTTCCAGCGGCTCAATAGTGTTAGGGCCAGCAACTCTGCAGTTCTCCTGGCCTCATCTTATTGTCTCAATACTCAAGCTACAGCTCCAGGCATTAGGTCTGCATTTAGGGCAGGAAGGAGAAGGTTAGGGAAGCAGCTCTCTGCCTCTATCTCTTTCATCAGCAAAAGGAAAAGCCATCTCAGGAGCTCCCAGCAGACTCTCTCACTCATTTGACAGAATCACATCAATACCCCAGCTGCAAGAGAGGCTGAGAAATTACGTGCTTAGCTGTTCTCATCTCTGTGGTAGAGGCAGGTAGAAGAAAGGGATTGTGATTAGGTTGAGTTAGCCAACCTACAGTGTCTAGCTTACCTTCCACATATATAAAAGGCAGAGGCTGTGCTAGGTGATCTCTTAGACCTTTCCCAGCTCCAAACCCATGTTAATCTCTGAATAGGGAGAAAACCTCAGTATGGAGTATCACTTTCATGTGTATGGCAATTCCTGGTTTCTATTCAAATCCTCTCCCCAGAAATACCTTCACTAATATTCCATGTACAGGCTGGAGAAAAGCTGATACATTTCTCATATGGGTAGCACAATGTCATCCCAAGAAAAAAACAGAGGGGGCCAGTATTCATAACATAATGCTGTTTTGACAGATCCAGGAAAAGAGAAACAAATATCAATTCACATGAAAATACTCCTAAAAGAGGTAACCCACATATTGATATTACATAATTTTTTAAATTAAATTTGTATTGATGATTTCAGGTTTTAGAAAAATTTAAAAATCAAGATAAAAAACATTTATTTTTAAAACTCCCTTTCAGTCCTCAGTCACATATAATTTTGCATGACTACAATCTTACATGCAGACCATTCTATGCCCTGAGTTTTCCACTTACCATTATCAGATTATTATTTTACAGAAAGTTGAGTCAGAGGAAATAGAAGGAGCAGGAATGATTGAAGAAAATCATTGTAAAAGAGTGAACAGAGGGGGCAGGTGAATCCTAAGGTCTTAATGGGAAGCTTGACCCCTTCCTCAATTTGTCTCAGTTTGTGTGATTACAAAAACGGGGACATAAGAAAGCAAAATGAGCTATAGCTACATAGACTAGTAGGGTCCTCTTCAGGAATCCAAAATAGAGACTTGAGGTCCAATTACCTCTTGGATCTTCTTAAACATTTGACGTAGGAAATTACTTCAACTCATTGAGCTCACTTCCATTTGGAGTCAACAATTGCTTTTATGAGAAATTGGTTTCATTGTGTTCCTCTAGAAGGGCATGTTTGTTTATTGTAGACTTTAAGCACATCTCAAGGAGATGTGACTGTATAATTTAAGCACATCCCAAGAGCTCTCTGACAATGAATGTGTCCTCCAACACCAGCATCACACTCACAAAGGCCTATGGGAACCAAGCGGAGAGCATGAATGTATGATTTTCTCAGTAAAAGACAATAGAGAGTGGCAGAGTCAGTGTCAACTGGTGTAATATGGTTTGGATTTGTGTCCTTGCCCAAATCTCAAATCTCATGTCGAATTGAAATCCCCAGTGTTGGAGGTGGGGCCTGGTGGGAGGTGATTGGATCATGGGGATGGTTTCTAATGGTTCAGCAACATCCCCCTAATGCTGTCTTGTGACATAATTCTCACAAGATCTTGTTGTTTAAAAGTGTGTGGCACCTGCCTCATCTCTTTCTTCCTCCTGCTCCTGCCATGTAAGATATGCTTGCTTCCCCTTTGCCTTCTGCCATGACTATAAGCTCCCTGAGGCCTCCCCAGAAGCAGAAGCCTATACAACCCACAGAACTGTGAGGTAATTAAACCTCTTTTCCTTAAAAATTACCCCAGTCTCAGGTATGTCATTATAGCAGTGTGAGAATGGACTAATATAGAGAGAAAATCTAGACCTTCTCAAATCTTGACTTCTTTAATATTGTATGGATTCCTGCATCTTTGGGGCTCTCTTCAGTTGCACAAGAGTTGAAAACTTCAATTTTGAGTGTGTGACTTTCCTTATAAGCCATTGTGGTTTGCCCTGTTAGGTATATATTACATTGACAATTCTGATATTTTCTGTTTCTGGACATAGAACTGTGGAAAGTTAAGAAGTGGTAAGTTAAATATTTCAGGGATCAGTAATGCAATTTACTAAAGATATTTGGGTTTTCTTCCTTTTAAGCATATGATAAGATTTTAATTTTTGGCTCCTTTGTGGTTGGTTGGGACAATGTTATTAGTTTTGGGGGTTCTTTTTGAAATGAGTTATGAGCCTATGTAATGAATGTTATTTGCATGCTAAAGCATTTAGCTGTGGATTGTATATGTGAGAATTTTTAGAGCTCTCATTTCTTCTGACACAAACAACCATCAATGTTCAAGGTGATCATTGCTCCATTAGTCTGTGTTCAAGAGTAACCACAAAGAACAGAACCCTTAGGGAAACTAATTAATAACATGTGTGAGAAATATACTTTCACTACTAAGCCATCCAGTTTTGGGGAATATTTGTTACCATACACAAACTTAGTCTATCTTGACTGATTAAAGCCTTCTTCTGAGATCTTTTTTCCTCAAGCCACAAAGAAAAAGTAAAATTGTGATTATCCTATGAGAAGTTTAAATATAGCATAGAAATATAGATTTACTCAAGAGAAAGGGAACTGAACCCAATCCTGCCTTCTCCCAATGGTAAGTCATGTGACCTGTGGCTGATTACTTACTGTCCAAGAGTATCATCAGTTTACAGAAGAAAGGCTAACAAGGGATAATGACACATCTTTCCTTTTATTTACCTAGTTCTCAAGAAAATTAGTTCTCTGTCATCTTCAGGTGACCAACTACCTTGAGCTTTAATTGATTTCAATTCTTACCCTTATTAAAAAGCTCAAATTGTCCCATGTAGAAGTCACTTCATATCAGCTCCTTGAAACTGTGTGCATTGCCCTACTAGTCTTTTGCATGTCCCATGCCCTCTGATGTCAAGATATTCTAGGCACAAGCAAGAAATCAGCTGTTTCTCCACGAATCCTTAGTTTTCCTATTGAGGAATGAATTTTAACACCAGAGTCTGGATTTGCTTTTTATACTGGGTTGGTCACATTTTTCTAAATTTTCAGTGGACAGAACTAGGTAAAAAAAATGCATATATGATATATTGTGAGTTCATATGGACATTTCCAATTCGAAATCAGAACAACAAGATTTTTACTTCGATGTTACTGTTGGAAAATAATTCTCCATGGATCTCTCATGTTTCTGAAAATTTTGAATACAGAGGTATTGACTGTCTTTGTTCTATACTATTTTTTGAAGGATATTTGTATAGTAAACAGACCTGAAAAATAAAGATAATATCTCCCTGTGGACAAAGGGTAGATTTGTTTACTCTTCGGTATAATAAACATATCTCTATCCAGGACAAAGGACACTGTATTAGTCAGGGATCTGTAGAGAAACATAACTAATAGAATATATATAAAGGGATTTACTTTAAGGAATTGGCTCATGTGATTGGGGAATTGACAGGTCTAAAATCCATAGGGCAAGCCAGCAGTATGCTAGAAACTCAACAGGAGTTGATGTTGCAATATTGAAGCAGAATTTCTCCTCCAGGTTTTATCTTAAGTTCTTTCATTGATTGAGTGGGGCCCATATACAATATAAAGCATTACCTCCTTTCCTGAAGGCCAACTAATGGCAGATGTTAATCATAGCTATAAAACACCTTCACAGCTCACTTAGATTAGTGTTTGATTAAATCATCTGGTACTATATAGCCTAGTCAAGATGACACAGAAAACTAACCATCACAAGCAGGTTTGTTTGTAGCCTATTATAAAAGATTCAGTTTCCCTAAACTCCAGGTTACTTAGCTGTGATGCAAACTCACAATTTAGGCTTCTCTGTATCACCCTTGTTGGTTTAGAGGGGCAAAGATGACTGATACAAACACAGTGCTCACGCTGTTTGCTGTGCATATGTAAAATGTTAAATCCTTTTGTCTCTGACCCAGAAGTCTGTGCGTTCTGTCAGCATCCATGAAATTGCAGTAGGATCCTAGTATAGTAACTTTCTAGTAGGGTAAAATTGCAGAACTTTCACGGTTCTTGACAGTTACATCTATATTTTTTTTCCTTCCATCCTGAAAATTTTAGT
The DNA here is from genome assembly GCF_000001405.40 of Homo sapiens. NCBI lineage: Eukaryota > Metazoa > Chordata > Mammalia > Primates > Hominidae > Homo > Homo sapiens. The sequence goes on from NC_000018.10 coordinate 52,197,384, forward strand.
TCTCAGATATAATATATACATGAATTAGAATGTCCCCAAATTACTGATTTGCTTTATCCCAACTTGCACACTCAGAATAACAATACCAATGATACTACCCCTAATTGTAATTATGGAAAATAGTCACTTTTTAAGTATACCCTCATCCTCCTTTTCCATTTCTTATATTTCATTCTCTTCTTGTTTTCTTAAGATTTTACTATATCTACTACAAAAGAAAATGAAATAACTAAGGTGAAGCTTTCTAAGGTGGAGTCAGGAGATGGGGAGAAGGTGGCATTGACACCTGCTAATGGCCAGACTGCAGTGTGTCCCCACAGCCTTGGATAAACAACTGAAGTTAGTATCCATAGGCCTTCAACATTTCTCAGCTGAAATACCCTCATTAACCAATGAGAATGGCTGTGCAATGTAAGATCCCTGTCTAGCAAATCAACTGCCTCCAAAAATAACTTTTTATGGAAATCCCCTCTACAAAAAATCTCTTCTGTGCTTGCCTTTTCAGACACTATTCAGGGCTGCCCTGATTCAGTGTACCCAATATGCAATTGTTTGTTTCTCAAATAAATGCTATATCCTTTAACCTCCATGTCATTTTTTTTTTCAGTTAGCACTACATTTTCAGATAACATGGTAATTATATTATTTCTTTAAACCTTGTTTAGCCTTAATATTAGAAGTAGCTATACAGGTAATACTCACCACCAGTTCTTAAATTGGTATTTCTAGGAATGTGGGATGTCTGAAGTTTGTTCTCTGATGGATTCCTAGGAAGATATTTTGGGGACAATAGGACAATGTTACATGAATTCTTGCATGCTAGTAACAGTCCTTTTATACTTGAGTGGCAGTTTTTTTTAATTACAAAATTCTTGTCTCAGATTTTCTTTCCTTGTATATCTAAAATATGATGTTCAATATTCTTCTGGGATAAATCATCTGTGAAAATATCTGATGATAATCCAATATTGTTTATCTTGTAGGTCACAAAACCTTTTTGTCTAGATGACAAAAAGATTTTTTCTTTTTCTTTAAAGTTCAGGAATTTTATTAGGATGTATCTTAGTTGATAGTCTTAAGTATGTGATGTGTTCTTTCAATGTTTTAAGTATTTTCTTAAAAAAATTGTTCTTGAACTATGGTTATTAATGTTTGCTAGCTTTTTATTTTTATTTTCTTCAGAAAACCCTATTATTTATAGGTTGGCTCTTTTTTGCTTATCTTTAATAATTGTCCATTTCCCTCAAATTCTTATTTATTTCTTCTTGATTTGTAAAATTTTCTTTCTTTTCATATTTTATGTCTGTAGGCATTATTTGTTGTGATTATTTTCTTTTGTGTTCATTTCATTTTAGTCTTTCCTTCTTTAATTTTTAATTCATGATTTTGTACTTTATTTTGAATATTCTAATTCTGATTTATGTTCTTTATGCTTTCTTTCATGTTTACATTATCCTAGCTAATTCTCTTTTTTTTTTTCTTTTACAACTTTGACTCACCTCCCCTCTGTGAGCATGTGTTTATGACATTGTTTTATTGTCTTCAGGGATATTATTCTGTTCAATTTTCTGTCTCTCTTGTCTTCATAGAAACTTTGTGAAAAATTTGACTGCAAGATTTTTCTGATGTTCATCTTATTAACAGATTTTAGTTTTTCTAAAATTTGACAAGTGCAATAAAATCAGACAGCTTTTCTTCACAGAGCTTCTTCTGTTGCTTTTGTGTAAAGTTTAAAGCTGTGATTCTGAGATTTTCTGGTTCTGTTCTTTGCCTCCCCCACCCCCTACACTTTCATTTGTACAGTCCCCTGCCTCTCTATGCATTGGCCCAATCCTGCTCAATCTTGGTTCCTCTCACAGCAGTTTTTTCTGAGCGCGGGGCAAGTTGGTTCCTTGATCCCATTATGCTCCAACCTCTGTTCTTTCCGTGGGCCTGTCTCGTAGTCACTGCTATTGGAGTCCTTACATTTACCTGCCACACTTTTGAGTGAAGCCTGCTTTCTATTGGGGGTTCTCTTATTCTCAGGTTCATCACATAACCTGTTGGTTTCCTTGTTTTCTTCCACATAGATGCCAGTAACATACAAGACTTGTCCTATCAGCGTTTTGTCCCTATATTGGCTTCGTGCCCATATGGTGTCACCCAGCTTTGTTGAAAATGTTGGACATAGGTTTTTAGTTTTGCTATCTAGTTCGTCTGTTTTTATGTGGAGATTTAGGAAGACTGAAGACTTTGCACACCACAACTGTCATCTTTTCAGATTTCCCCATCTATTCATTTTTCATTCAAACAGTTTTTTATTTGTCAGCTACCATTATATAAATGTCAGAGATAAAAAAGTGAATAAGATGCTGTACCTTCTCTTAAGGACCTAGTGCAAGATTGAAAAAAAGCTTTGAATTCTGTAGCATTTTTTCTACAGTTTTAAAATTTAATTTCTTTTTGAGGTGTAATATACATTTTGAAAAGTGCACATTTTGTAAGTGTACACCTCAGTGAATTCTCAAAAATCAAACAAACCCATGTAACCAATATCCACGTGAAGGAAGAGAATATTGTCAGTACTCTACTGGCTTCCCTTTGCCCCTTCCTTTTCTCACCCCCCATATGAGTAATCACTCAAATCATAAATTAGCTTTGCTTGTGTTTTTTTCTTTATATGTATGTAATCATACAGTATGTACTTTGTGTCTTTCTTTACTCAACATAATACTTGTTTTCATCATCATTATTGCTGTGTGTAGCTATAGATTATTCTCATGCCCATATATTGTTCTCTTTGTGAATATATCACAATTTATTTATCCATTTTACTGATTATTAGCATTTTCATGTTCCAGCTTGGTGCTACTATGTATAGTGCTGCCATGAACATTCCAGTATGTGTCTTTTGACAATCCAATATACACATCTTTGTTGAGGATATTCCAATCTGAAGGTGGAATTGCTGAGTCAAAGTTAATGCATACATTCAGCTTCAGTAGATGCTTTCAAACCCTTTTCAAAGAGCTTGTACTTCCAGTTGTATTTTCATTCAGCACTATGGGAAGCAGCAACAGTGATCTGAATAGGGAAAAGCAATGACCAAAACTGTCTTTAAGTAAAATTGTTCTGGGAATTTTTAAGAGTAGATTGGAAGAGAAAGACATCAGAAATAAAGAGACTAGTCTGACTACTAAAGCAGAGAATGAAGGATTAGAATAGATAAATGGATTAAAGGGAAAGGTATGCATATGAGTCATTGTGTGATGGTAGATTCTGCTAACCCCATGTGAAAGAGAAAAAATAATGACAGTTTGCATAAAAGTTTGATTGGGGTGAGGATGGTGAGTTCAGATAGTCCCTATAAATACAGAGAGACCTCAGCCACTATTGAGATCTGAGAGTTGCGGCTCTATCTCTCCTTTATTTCCCATTTCTGCAATTCCTAAGCTGGTCCCACAGGCTTCCTGGAGCCATGTACATTGACAAATAAAGGATCACATTTTTTTTATGCTTAACTCATAATGCAGTGATGTTAATAATACAGGGTCCCAATAATATAAAACACCCATTGAGAAGAATCTGCAATTACTGCTTTCCACTTTGCACTACTGTATCATTTTTACTTTATGTCGCACACAAAAGTTCTTTAAAGAAGCTAATCGAGATTGACAGCGCCTGGGATGCGGCTCTTCCCTCTGAGGCAAACAAGCGAACACCCACTTCTTTATGCCTAGGCAGTGCTACCTCCACCCAGATCCCTGCACTAAAAGGCAACAGCTATAAATTGCAATGGCCTGCTTGCTGGGCTTTTCCCCAGCCCACCCTCCTTTGTGACTAGGAAGGAAAGTATTCCCTGATGGCCTGAAGAAGGGCATATAACACCAGCAGACATTCTACATTATACAGAAGTCTCAATTGGGGGCTGAGCCTTCTTATTTTCTACAGTTTTCTTCAATCTTCTAGTACTGATGAAATTTGCATGTGAACAGACTCTTTGCCTCTTATGGGCCCATCTGTTTCTTCTGTTAATTTTTCACCTGGAGTCCTAATTATAACTGACTCCAGACGGAAATGCCTATGACGTCACCGTCAGGCGATTGGGGCTTCAGGTGGGAAATAAGGTGTTGGAGCAGATGGACATCGTCTGAGCAAAAGATTCTGATGTTTTGTAAATATTCACTGCATAAGAATGAGAATGAAAGGAAATATTGAAAATGGAAGCAAGGAAAATAACTCCTAACTACGCTGCTCCTTTTTTCCCCTCTTTTCTAACCTTCCACATGGTGCCAGTAGTACAGTTATAAGAGAGATTTGCCGGTATTAGAACCACACATTTAGTAATCCTGGCTTCCCTAGGGTCCGGTATAATGCAGTGGACACCCACTTGGCTTAGAAGTTAACAGAGGAGTCTATGAATCCCATGGCATTGGCATCCTAGGAGTAGCTAATGGAATATCTTGAAGACAACTAATAGGAGGAAGCTGTTACAAACTTTATGTAGTCCGAATCTCTCTCCACATTGTAAGCATGTCCATCATTCTTCTAGATACAGCCCTACTCTTATCTCATGATAAGTCATGGGATCATTGTTACAAGAGGCTGAATGGGAACATCTTCTCTTCCTCTGGTGAGTTTACATGACATGGAGTTTCAGCCAATCAACTCTCTAGAAAATTGCCAGAAATATGCAGCTCTTGACAATGTGTGTGCTAAGAATAGACAAAGTTCTTCATTGAAGATAAGACACATACCTAACAAATGCAGAAAAATGAAAAGAGTTTAGGATTAGATCCAAAATTATAACAAATATTGGAGGGAGATTAGGAATTCTAAACTAGTTACCAGATGGTAAAATCCCTAACTACTACTTAAGTCTTCCCTCTATACCTTCTTTTTTTTTCTATTTTTTTTTTCCAACAAAATCTTGCTCGTATGACTACTTTGTTGACTCGATCAACTCACAAACCAATTACCTGACAGAGTAGGTCTGTCCAGGCCAGGAAGAGCTAATTCAGGCCACCAAATTAGTTTAAGGGGCCTTGTTTTAGCCTTATTAAGGATCACATTTCGATTTCCAAGGGTAAAATTCTAAGCCGGGTTTTGTTTTCTTTTGTTTTTTAACTAAATGAGTGGGACTTGACATAGACACCCTGCCTCACAACAATTGGGCTGTGCACAAGCAGACATTACTGCCACCTCTTGCTCTCCAGAGATCCAGTGAGTGGAAACAATAAAGATCCTGTGTTTTGTCTCCACTCCAGGCAGGGTTTGATGCTTACTCTGATAGCGGAGATGGGCAAGCAAACATATTCAAACAACCTACAAGTTCTCAAGGAATCTGGTCAAGTTTCTTGTCCATCAGAGGAGAAATGGCCAATAATGGAATGGATCTCAACAAGTGAAAGTAAAGCAGCACTCACCAGATGAGCAACCTTTGCCTTTGATTCTCCGGAAGGGTGGTCCTCAGGTCTTCCATCTTGTGGGATCAGCTGGGCACAGGTCTGCTTCTTATTAAAGATGGTCAAAACCAGGGTAAGATTGCCTCTCACATGAAGAGTGAATGGTCATGTTAAGGCTTCCTCCTATCCTCCTGGACAGAGTATCCTTTTGAAACATATGCATAAAAGCCAGGCACATTTCAAATGTTGCATTGGAGTCTAAATTCAAATTGTCATGATGTTATCAAGTTACATTGGGCAGTTTTATATTTAAGAACTACTGGATTCAACTACTAGTAGGAAAAAATGGCATTTTCTTGTAAAATGGCATTTGCTTCGGTGGCACCTAGACCCCAAGCAGGAGCGGCTTATCTCAGGGTTCTCTTACCAAGGAAGTTCTCAAAATAATGTGGATCTACATGGTAAGGTTCAGAGGCCAGACAGACACCAGTAAACACAGGGAAGGAATTTTGAATGTAGGAGTACAGAAGGAAGACCATCTTTGGAGAAGGGATGAGGCAGCTTGTTTTTCATGGTGCATGGTGGCTAATGTCTTGCTTTCATAAGAGCCTTCAACTGACAGAGAGAAAAAAACAAAACTCTAAGTATGTGGCCCAGGATTATATTTACACAAAATAGGAGGAAGACGGAAAATGAAATCCAGATAAATTAATTTCAACATCCAAGTTTTTTTAACCAAGCCAGAGAGTAAAAACTTTACAAAGTTCCAGTAAACAGATATATACCAATGAGATTCATTTTCCACTGCTGATCTTGGAAGAATTGGATTTTCTTGCCAGTATATTTCATTATATATGACCACACAAATGATAGATTATTTTTTTCACATGATATCTCTCCTCTCTTGCTCTTATGCCCCCTTTGAGGTATTAGAATGAAATAGTTTACATTTCAGGTTGAGAGTTAGAAAAAGAAGACTAGTTTGGTTGAACTTAGACTGGCTTGAGACTTTAGTTTTGCCAGAACTGCTTCTCAGAAAATTGGTACATTGGTTTCACTGTCTTGATTTGGAAGCCTTGTCTTAGAGGAAACATTCCAATTTATTTCATCTAAATTAGAGCAGGGGTTGGCCAACCACAGCCCACTGGCCAAATCAGCTGGTTGCCTGTTTTTAAATAAAGTTTTATTGGAACACAGCCTTGATTTTTTTTTAATTACTATTATCTATGTTTGTTTTCATGCCACAATGGTAAAGTTCAGTAGTTGACCTATAGATCTTATTCTCTATATTTGTCCATTTACAAAAAAGGTTTGCCAACCTAGAGGAGACTTCTTCAATTTTTCAATAGAGTTGGTAAATTTTCCCATAAAGTCTCACCAAGGATCTAAAAAATGTCTAGCCATCTTAGAGTTTTCCTCTGTGACATGGCAGAAAAGATAAACGTTTTGGGGGTCAGAAGATCTAAGTTCAAATGTCAGTTTCATCACTTACTGTTTTTATGATTATGACAAGTTTTAGGACTTCTCTCAGCTTCTCCTATATAATAGGTCTCAAAATGCTTGTTTCAAAACTCGTTGTGAAGACCAAGGCCCTGACAAAGCCTGGGTGCTGAATATGAATTATTTCATCAGCCCTCCCATGTCACCATCCTTATCCTGTCACGATTTTCTTCCTGGCCCACTTGAGGTGAAATTTTGGTAGACATTTGTTGCTGATTGTGTTATGTAATTCTTTAGTGAGGAAGCTAGAATAAATTCATTTGAAAGGGAATTTGCTCACATTTGTTCTGGGGAGATCCCAGTGATTTAGGCAGACTGCTAATGCCTTTTACAAAGGATCCACCTCAGTCATCATGTACTAGATGTTGTCATAATTTCTTTTACAAAAGAACAAATCAACCTTGTTCCTCTCCATCCGGGGAAGGGAAGGGAAGGGAAGGGAAGGGAAGGGAAGGGAAGGGAAGGGAAGGGAAGGGAAGGACAGGGGAGGGGAGGGGAGGGGAGGGGACGGGAGGGGAGGGGAGGGGAGGGGAGGGGACGGGAGGGGAGGGGGGGGAGGAAGGAGAAGAGATAGAAAGAAAGAGAGAAGGAAGGAAGGGAAAGAAAGAGAGACAGAGAAAGGGAAAGAGAGACAGAGAAAGAAGAGAGTGGAAGCCTCTGTATTAATCTGCTGATTGAAAAGAAGTATCAACACTGTTTTGACCAAATTTGTCACCTTTTTTGGTAGGCATTTGAGTAGAAATCAGAGCAATGAATGTCTCTTAGATATCTGCATAATAATCCCAACCTAATGAATTTATTTCAGAAATTTTATATTTTGTAAATAGCTGAGAATATTCTAGAAACAGCCACAAAACTGTTCACTTTGTCCTGTATCATGGCCTTGAAGCATGTGCTGCAAGTGCTTCCGTTTTCTTTTTGCAGAGGAAAAGGAGGAGCCAAAGCCTTATATGAATAAGTGAGGGAGCTTGTAAATTCATATAAGGGTGAAAGCTTGGGGAATAACGCCATCCTTATGTGGATAGTCCTGACACACTATGGGACCTAAGACAACCTGCTTATTCTCATTGAGTTTTGTCCTTTACTTTCTATTAGATTATCTCATTGACATTTTATACCACTTTCAGACATTTCTATACTGCTATAGAATAAATCAGTTTTTGACCGAGCACAGTGGCTCACGCCTGTAATCCCAGCACTTTCGGAGGCCGAGGCGGGCAGATCACGAGGTCAGGAGATCGAGACCATACTGACTAACACGATGAAACCCCATCTCTACTAAAACTACAGAAAATTAGCCGGGTGTGGTGGCAGGTGCCTGTAGTCCCAGCTACCCTGGAGGCTGAGGCAGGAGAATGGCGTGAACCTGCGAGGCAGAGCTTGCAGTGAGCTGAGATTGTGCCACTGCACTCCAGCCTGGGTGACAGTGAGATTCGGTCTCAAAAATAAATTAAAATAAAATAATCATTTTTGTTGTTGTTGTTGTTGTTGTTGTTGTTGTTGTTTTGACAAAGTCTTGCTGTGCTGCCCAACCTGGAGTGCAGTTGCACAATCTCGGCTCACTGTAACCTCTACCTCCCAGGTTTAAGTGGGATAAATCATTTTTTAAATGTAAAATGTGTAGCCAGTCCACAATTGATGAGAGGGTCTAATTTATTTTGTGTTAAAGTTGGTTGTTAGGAATTCAAAATTTATTTTCCCATGATAAAATATTATAGAGCATGGATATATTATTAACTTAAACTGCCATCTTTTATTTCTGTAGGGGATACACAGGAATATTAACATTTATTTAAAACTGTTTTCTCATATATAAGGCTATATTTCGCTATAGGATACATCTAAGTTGCCCAGTTTCCATACTGTGTGTCCTCAGCATAATTCCTGGTCCTTATAACAGGTGAGCAGAGGGAGCAAGGGCAGTGGAGGTCACAGGGCAGCTGTGGTGGAAGTGGGGAGAGGAGGAGAGAAAGAGTCCTTGGCAACCACTGCTCAGGTGGGAGGGCTCAGATCCCATGTCTCAGGCATCTTTTTCTCTATGGGTGATGGAAGAGAGATTCTGAGCATCCTGAGTAAGAGTAGGAGGCATCCAGCAAGCTCTGACAATCCCTGTTGAGGTGAGGCTATGGGAGGGGAAGTGTGTGTCTGAAAGGAAGGTTGGTTAATTGTTTACTGAGCATCACGAGTCCTCTAATGATGTCTAAGTTCTGTGTCCTGTTAATTGTTTTATCTTCAGCTCCTAGCACAATGCCAAGAAAATAGTAAGCTTTTAGTAAATGTTAAATTGTCTTGTGAGATTACCCTTGGAAGGTAAAAACAAATCACTTTGGATAGGGTCTGGCTAAAATAATCCCACCCAAATTTATATTTTCCTTTCTCGAGGGCTGGAACCTTACAAATATTTACAGACCTTTACATACTGTGGTATACAAACAGCAGGAGTTGGAAGCATTGATGGAACAGAGCTGTGTTAGAACAGTTCGCTGATAATAGACTAGAATAGAAACTCCGCTGTCCCAAACACTCTGCTTATTAAAAACCACCATCCAAAAAGTAGTGGAGAAGAGAAGAGCACACATTCTAGAATCCAAACAAACTGGACTTGAATTATGGCCCTGTGTGACATGGCCAAGTTACTGTTTTCTCCAAGCCTCCATTTATTTATGTGTAAAAATGGAAATACTTTTAGAAAGAGATTTAGTGCCACATTGGGTTGTGGTGAAGATTAAATGAGATAGAGGATGTAAAGTGCCTAATGCACAGTGAGAACTGAATAAACGCTTATTTCCAATATTTCTCACTTTTGGAAAATGTTACCTGAAGGCAAAATGAAAGCATTTCCTCCAGACCCTGAGACCAGGAGAGACCTGAGCAGGGAATCCATTTCAAAGCTCTTCTACCGTGTCTGAATGCCTCTGAAAGCTGATCAGAGTTATTACAGCTAATCAGGACAAGGGAGAGAGAGGCAGGAGAAGTGACAATCACGTGTCCCCCTGTGGGTCTGTGTCGCCCACCACGACTTTCACAGCCATTGTGTTTGTGCTCCAGGCTGCTCTATTATTAGTTTCTGCGGCTGTTTCTGCTCCAGCTGTGTGTCCACTGGGGTCCGTTGCAGAATACCAGCCTGTCCTCACATGGTACGAAAGCAGTGCAGCAGTCTGTTGCAAAATATTCCCAGAACCTGAGGCTCCAGAGAGCCTCGACCCTCAGCAGTCTCGCTGTTTGGAAGACATTGTTCTGGAAGCTTCCATGGTCTTCGTTATTTTCTGCCTCTTATCAGTTGTACTTGCAGCTTGTCGCCCTGAACTAACTAGCCCCACAGCCAGACCTTTGACAAAACATTCTGGCTTTTGATGATATTATCTCTTTCTTCGGCAGAGAGAACTCAGAGCCAAGTATCTTTGACTTTGAGAGATTATGGTTTCATTCATCCTGGAAATACATACACAGGTTATCTTTTATCCCCTGCCTTCAAGCCATGGTCCTGAAGTTAATATGTCATTACCTCACCTGTCGCCTGTGGCACAGTCTTTTTATCAACTATGCAGTGTACGATGTCATGATATGAAACTGCCCTGTGCTTACTTCTGATTTCTCTTCCCACATCTGAATTTCCTTTTCGCTAATCCACATCTCATGCAGTTTTGTCTGTAGTTTACCATCTTCACCCCCCAACTTCCTTCTTTGGGAAATAGTTTGCGAACATCTGATTGTGGCGTGTAGAGGAGACTTGATGCTTTCAGGCTTCTTGCTATTCTAGAATATTTCATGTTCATACCATATAATCCCGGCCTGGATGGAGTGTGCATCCCTGTGGTTCTTAAATCACCAATGTGCTTGTGAGTTCCTCCTCCCCATTCCTATCCTACAGTCACCTGAAAGAATTAGACAAAACGCAGCTAATTAACAAATATTAGCTGACAATGTTCTGGTTGCTGGGAGTCAGTTGAACTGTGAGGAAACCAGAATAGAAGGAAAAGATAAGGATGACAATTCTGTCATCTCTATCAGACTAGGGCAAGGTGGAGGAGAAAATATTCAAAGCAAATATGGGTACTGTTATGTGCCAGGAACTGTCCTAAACTCCCTGGTGCATATGAACAGCTAATTCTTGCACTAACCATTGAAGTAGGCACATGAATGAGAGCACTGTAGCATTTTTTTCACGAAGAGGATATACTTTGGAGACCAATTGCCTGGATTCTAATACTGGCTTCTCTCCTAACTGTGAGGCCCTGAGAAAGTTACTTAACCCTTCTGTGTCTAAGACTCCTCATTTACAAAATGAAGCAAATTATACCTACTTTGTATGTTTTCCTAAGAATTAAATGAGTTAATACATATGAACTATGTAGAGCAGATCCCAAGACATAATAAGCATTCATTAAGAATTAGCTATTAAACTAGTTATGCATTAATAACTGTATTCACACTCGCACAGCCTGGCCATGGCTATGGTATATTTCCGCAAGGACATGCAGCTGGACTGTAGAACATCATAGTCCTAAATCTATGTATGCCTGCAGGTCACTGCCAGTTGCTTTCCTAGTGACTTCAAAAGAACAGGTCACACTCCCACTTCTTGCCTTCATGCCTCAGTAACATCAATAGCATCTCACACTCTGTTCAGTGGCAAAGGTTAGCACTTGTTTCAAGAGCATTTTGGCCTTTTGCGTATTATTACTTTAAAGTCTTAAATCCCATCTGCTACTAGTAGCAAATATAGAGCTAATTAAATGTAATTTTTCTGGAAAAAATCCTGTTTGGTCTTTTCAGAGTGGGACAGATTGTATTTTATAAGTCCTTGCTGATAATTTCCCACTCCCCATTTATAACTTTCAATAATTTATTAGCATAAGAAAAATACCCATGAAAGATCTCCTGGACAGATAAACACACCGTGAAATAAAGTACATTTTCCTATTAGGACAATTATCTATCCTAGTGCTCACTGGGCAACAAACTTTAGAGGAAGTAAAAGAATGAGCCCATCTCTGAATTCCTTGGCTCCTTGAATCATTAACAAACAAGTCGGTCATTACTTAATACATAATTGTTTGTGTTAAGATATCTTGTTCTTAATTGTAAGCTCATTGAAGTTACAGACCAAGCCATATATAGTTTCTCTTATCATGTCTGTCAAGCCCTGGGGTAATCCTTTATCTGAAAAGCATGTTATTTCCTCTTTAACTGCTTTAATCTCATAAAGCAGTTAATTAGAATTGTTCTGAAGACCCATATATTTGAACTGGCTCTACTAGGATGGCTAAGTGCCACCTCTTCATTCTTATTATACATGTTCCAGTTATATCAGCCTCCTCTCACTATCTTGAAAGCACTGGGAGTCCTTCTACCACAGGTTCTTGGAATGTGCTATTCCGTCTGTCTCAATACTCTTACTTTATGCTTGCTCCTCTCATTTTCACCATCTCACCACTTAGTGCCTATGCATCCCTTCGATACTTCCTTGATCCATTTGACCATGGCCTTTCACCCTCCTCTTCTCCACCTCATATAAGTCACAGTTCTTTGATACACACAATCACAGAATTGTCTTCAGTTCATTGAAGGTACTTCTCAGCGTTTGTAATTAAACTTTTATTAATGCAATTATTTGATCAATGACATTCTCCTGAGTAAGGAAGAAACTCCATAAGAAGAGAAACTGTTTTTGCTCATGATTGCATCCTCAGCATTGGCACACAGGAGGGCTGCAATACTGAATTAATTCTGAGTTAATTCTCAACAAACATTAGTTTTTTAGTGATTAAGAGCTTTTTATTACATTTGGGAACTCAATAAAGTCTTCTAGAATAAGAATTGAAGGTATAGTTTTACAATGGGGTATAAGTCTTCTAGAATAAGAACTGAATGTATAGTTTTACAATGGGGTATTTTCAGTTTGAAATGTTCTACATATGGATATGTCTGCTATGTAGCAGAGAGGCAAATAAAGAATAAGGGTCAGGTTGGAGGTTTCTCCCTGGTAGGTTATTCTGGTCCAGTGTACACATGAGCAGAAATATCAGGACTACTTGGTCTGGATAACAAACTATGACTAGTATTTTGGAGTACCCAGGGATTGATCAGAGAAGAAATCCAGATGGTAGGAAAAATATCTGGAACTCATTTACTTATTGTCAAAGTATTACGTGCTAGTCACCATACTAAGGACTGGAGATCAATAGACAAATGAATCTGTTCCTTAGTGTCCACAGGGTGGGAAGGTACAATGGGAAGGTGAATATTTGTGTCTTTTCAAAATTCGTATGTTGAAATCCTAACCACCAAGACGGTATTTGGAGGTTGGGATTTTTGAGAAATCATTTGCCCTTAAGGGTAGAACCCTCATGAATGAGATAAGTGGCCCTAGAAAAGGGACGACAGGGAGCTATTTTGCCCTCTTTCCACCAAGAGAGGATGCAGCAAGAAGGTCATAGTCTGCAAGGTGGAAGCGGGCTCTCACCAGAACTCAACCGTGCTGGCATCCACATCTCAGACTTTCAGCCTCCAAAAGTGTAAGAAATAAATTTCTATTATTTGTAAGCTACCCAGTCTATGATACTTTGTTACAGCAGCCCAAACTGACTAAGACAGGGCGAAGAGAGAAAATAATTAATTAGAATGCATTGTAGAAAATTGTGTGATGGAAATGCTATAGGAAAACAAAAGTTTCATGCCTGTGAGCTTTATAGAAGCCTTCTTTACGGAGATGACCCTGAGCTGATCCATGAGGCATGAGCAGGATTTAGGATCCAGGTGGTGGGCAGAGAGGGAGGACATTCCAAGTAATGAGCTGGGATGTGAGGTCAAAGATTGAAAGTGCCCAGTGTATTTGAGGAACTGGAAACCTCTTCTGGATGACAAAACTGCAGAGGGCAAAAAGCAAGGGGGAGAGGGCAGAGAGTATTAATAAGCAATAAGGCTTCAGTGAAGGACATGAAATTGATTGGGTAGGATTTAAGAAGCCATCGGAGGATGATCAATAGGTCTATCTGTGATCTAAGCTATGCTTAAAAAGTGGCTTTGTCAATAGAGTAGGTAATGGATAAACAAGGAGCTGAACTGACTTCACAAAGATTGTTTAAAAGTGGCACATGGTGAGTTATGAAAGTGGCACATGGTCATGGTAGGACCTAGGGAAGTGCATTTTAATTTCAGGAGAGGAGATGGACTTTAGGTGTATTGAAGAGGTAAAGTCAATAGTGTTTGGCCGTGCTAAATGTAGGAGGTAAAGAAGGAGGAGGGTTCTGAATTGGGCAGTTGGGTAGATAGTAGTACCATTTACAAAGAGAGCAAGCAGAAGAAGAAAAGCAGATTTTGTTGTTTGGAAATAGATAAATTTATTTTTAAATATGCTGAGGATTAATGAGGCTGTTTGCTGGCCCCAAACACCCATTTCCTTCCAAAATAAATACCATGTTTTAGCTAGGCATGTCTCTGCTTGCTTGCAGCTGGATGTGAACATATAATTAGGTTCTGGCCAGTGGGATGCAAGCACAGCTGTTGGGTACTCCTCCCGCAGGTGTTCTTCTCCCTGTTTCTCATTTCCTGAGTCTCACGCCTGGGAATATAGATAGGTTGGATAGACCTGTAATAGCCATCTTAGACCATGAGGTAGATGCTGCATATTGAGGATGGTGAAGCAATGAGATAAAGTATCTTGAGACTCCTTTTCAGCCTTGGCATGCCCATGCGAAAAAAAATAAATAAACATTGATTTTATTTAAGCCTCTGAGAGTAAATTCAGTCATTTATAGTTGAACTTAATCCTGACTAATACTTTGGGTTTGAGATGCCCAAGTCTGGACTTGAAGATGTCCAGAAGGCAGGTAGACATAGAAATCTGGAGCTCATAACAAAGATCTATGCTATTAATGAAAGTTTATACTCCTCATCATACTACCATCCAAGAGGTGAGGACTTTCAAGGAGAGTGTGTAGTGTGAGAAGAGTGCTAAGGATGGAACCCTGGGGACCACAAGAATTAAATCAATGAAAATAGGAAGAAGAACCTGTAAAGACAATTGAAAAAGAAATACCAAAGAGTTGGTGGGAAAACTAATTTAGAATTAAGAGAGTGACCTGGTTTGGCTGTGCCCCCACCCAAATGTCATTTTGAATTGTAGCTCCCACAATTCCCATGTGTCATGGGAGGTAATTGAACCAAGGAGGTAGGTCTTTCCTGTGCTGTTCTTGTGATAGTGAATAAGTCTTATGAGATCTGATGATTTTATAAGGAGGAGCTTCCCTGCACAATCTCTCTCTCTCTCTCTCTCTCTCTCTTGCCTGCAGGTATGTAAGATGTTCCTTTTGCCTTCTGCCATGATTGTGAAACTTCCCTATAGAAACTGGTGAAGTAAACCAAGGACTTAAAAGTCCCAAGCAGTATAATATACTACCTCTAGATTCCAAGTTTTGGAATCTGAGAGATGTGGATGCATCCTGATCTGTTTTATACTTAATATCTGTGTAATCTTTGGAAAATTAACCTCCCAGAACACTCTGTTTCTGAATTCGTGTAATAGGGATTAAAATATCTTCTTGGTATTGCTGTTGTAAGATTTACAGGAGAAAATGTGTGTAAGGTGCTTCGTATTACACTTGGTACATAGTATGCATTAGTAAATGATGCGCATTATTGTTCTAGAAGCCAAAATACTGTCATGTGAGGCTCTAAAACTTTTTGACATTAAAAAGTTTATATCCCAAAGGAGATATCTTCAGTGATCTCTAGAACTTTTCTCTGCACAGTGCAATCAATCCTCATGTATCCTTTTTCTGTACCTGCAGGGTAAAGCTAATGTGTTTAACTCATCTGTGCTAATGATTTAATTTGTTTTCCCTCCCTAGTAACCTTTGCATTGTAACAGGGAGACTCTCAGTGCCTTAATAAAAATAAGTGACTAATGTAAGCATTGCAGGCACCTGACAGGGCCAGAACCAGGTGCCTCTGGGCAGGGGCCCCTCTCTCAGGGACTTTTACATCACTTCATACAGAAAGCCATTTAACCTGCCTATGGGTAAGGTTGACCTTGTTCTATGGAAGAATAAATCTGT
Organism: Homo sapiens; assembly: GCF_000001405.40. Classification (NCBI taxonomy): domain Eukaryota; kingdom Metazoa; phylum Chordata; class Mammalia; order Primates; family Hominidae; genus Homo; species Homo sapiens. The sequence continues at coordinate 52,213,327 of NC_000018.10, forward strand.
GCAAATCAAGGCCAGCTCCTGTTGTTTTCATGCTTTACTCCCTGCCTTTTGGGTGGAGACACACAGTAGGCTCTATATAACTGTTTGTAAGATGTACAGATAGAAGATGAGGGAGTGGGGAGGGGCAATTGAGAGGCTTATTTCAAGAGGTCAAGAAAATGTCTGAGAAATGGCCATTCAAGTTCAAAGATGGAGCACGTAGCTAATTTAACACAATTTCCTTTCATCTTCTTTCATTTTGTCATTGTCCTACTGCATTTTAATTGACATTTGCTTTTTCTTAGTCTCTGACAAAGAACACAATAACTCCAACTAACCTCATCAGTCCAGAATAAAAAATAAGACAGCTTATCAATTAATATTGTGAATTAATATAGTGCCTGCTAGTGTTCTGATAGAATACCTGACCATGAAGTTAAAAATACTGTACAGCAGTATAAAATGAATTTATGTAAGTTTTAAAAAGCCCTCAGATATCATCTAATTAAAATGTATTTCTATATTTTAAAAAACTCTGAGAATCTGAAAATTTTACTTAACCAGCAAAACTCAAAGACACACAAAATTCTACGTATAATTTTCAGGTGGTCATGGATTATTTGAATTTTGTTAATAAACCTCTGAGAGGACCACAGAGTCTGGTTTAATAACATTTAATCAAACTCAACCCCTTTATTTTATGGAAAAAGAACTGGAACCTAGAGAAGTTAAAGTCAGAAATCCAAAGTCACATAAGACACGGAAGTTCTGGACTAGAATCCATGGCTCAAGACTTCCCTTCTATTATCTCAAGTTCTTGGTAAATCCTAGTGAAGCTTACCATCTTATTAAACTAAAAGCAGTTTCTATTTAGTAAAATTCTGTGAGAGATGATAACATACCATAGCTCCTAATCACTCAGGTAGGGATTGTAGAAAACAAACAATTCAGTTTCTGTTGTTTTCAAATTATTCTCCCCATTTTTGAAGAGTACTGCATTTCTTCACCTCAAAGCATGCATTAAAATTTAATTTGTCATCATTCTGCCCTCAAACAGGGTTCCAGTTCACCTTCCAATCACCATTAGACGAAGTTACTCATTTTTCCAAAAGCAGAGAACAAGATTGCAGAAGACAACTTGACGTTCCATTTTAGGAACCAATAACCCTCATATTTGGAAATTTCATTACTACACTTTCAGAGGTATGTTTTACATTCAGAGTCGGAAACCCCAACATGCTATGCAGTTTGAACTTAGCAGGTTCTTCTCAAGCTTGTCTTGCATGTTCTAAGCTTAGAAAAATATTTTACTTTTACTGTTTCCCAAATTATATTGACTGGGAAAAGTTACATGTCATTTTATAAGTTCTTAAAAGATGTTATTACTTTTTACTCAGTCATTTACTTTGTATTCACTATATTTGCAACACTGGAAAAATGTGGCACCCTGGAAAAATGTTTTGCAAACGTGTCATGATGTGTGAGATATAAGTTTTGCTCTTCAATTCTGTGTAGTTGTTTTTGATGTGCTTAAACTAGTTCATTTATTCTATTTAATAGACATTTTTCTTCCCTATGACAATTGTAGGTTTAGTTTTTTTCTTGCTTTGTAGAGAATATTGACCTGAGGTTTCGCACTTAGGAAATACGTATTGTGTGTGCCTACTATGTGCATAGTCCCGTGCTGCACCAAGAACAAATCCTTGTTTCTGCACCTACTGCAATGATGAATGTATGTCATTCAAGTGCACATTGGCTTTCAAAATACTACAAACATAAATATGCAAAAATCTGTGATAGTATATTTCAACTCAATAATGGCTTCTACGAAGCAAAAAATATAAATCTGTCTCACCATGGCAGGAGATAACCTATTTTCTTCCTGTTGACCCATGATTATCTCTAGAAGCTAGAGACCCATGGACCCTTCTCTCCACCACACACACACACACACACACACACACACACACACTCTCTCTCTCTCTCTGTCTCTCTCATACACACACACACACACACACACACACACACACACACACACAGTGGCTGCTAACTTGTCAGTTCCATGGCATAGGAAACAACGTCACCCTGGAGAGCAGATTGCTTAAAGGAAAGCAAGATGAGACACTGGGAATCATGCAAAGATCCCCTATCAGCCATGGGTCTGGCTGACCAGTGGCTATGGAGGTGGCCATGTTGGGAGTGGAGGCTAAACACCAGTCTTCTACTGTAGGCTGTGGGGAGCATGAATGGTGAGGAAAATGCACAAGAAGGTCTAGTTTGTATTGTGCTGATGATGTACCAGGCATAAATAAATTCAGAGTTTGTATGGCCTGAAGCTTATATGATTACAGGGTCTATTTAAGGAAAAGAATACAAAACTGCTAATACAAAATTAAGTACAAAAGTGAATATTTATTTAGATGAGAAAGGAAATTACAACAAATTATAAACATATAAAAGCAAGTACCACAAATATAAAAATCCAGAAAAATAACGTAGTAACTTATTTTTCATGAATTTATTTAATTTCCAGCCTGTGTAGGGAAAACTCTTTCTAACCACATTTTTCCTCTAGTCTCACACCACGACAATCAACATAGAAGACTTCTGTGACCAAATATATGGGTTTCCCCCCACAAATAGCAAGCAGTAGATACCAGCTGGGTGTCCTCTAATTCAGTCTCACACTCTCTACCCAGAGGTAGTGTTAGATCCCACAGGTTGAGGGCTCAGTCCCCTCCTATACACACACCAGCTGCAAGTCCAGGCCTCCAGAGCTTCTGACTGACCAGCTACAAGTTGGGGTTCCTATGATCCCCTCTTTGGGTTTGATTAATTTGCTGGAGTGGCTCATGAAACTCAGGGAAACACTTACCTTTACCAGTTTATTATAAAGGTTATTGCAAAGGATACAGATGAAGAGCTGCATAGAGTGAGATACCAGGGAAGGGGGTGGAGTTTCCATGCCCTCCCAGGGCCTGCCACCTTCCAGCAAATTCCAGGTGTTCAGCCATCAGGAAGCTCCCTGAACCTTGTCCTCTTGGGTTTTTATGGAAGCTTCATGATGTCAGCATTCCTTTCCCCAGGGTACAGGGTAGGTCCCTCTCATAGGAGGGTCTTAAGGCCCACAGTCAGAAAGACAGAAGAACATTAAAGTGAAAGGAGAGCAGAAGAAGCTCAGAGGCCTGCCCCTGAGGCCTAGCACACCCAATAGTCTAACAAAAGACTAAGGGCTATGGAAGTTATAAGCCAGGAACCATGGAGGAAAACCAGTATATATATCACAGCACCACATATCCACACCTTATTTTTGTTGGCAGCATACTTTCCCATCACCTCTGCCTTTGAATGATTTGTCAGTTGTCAGTATCAATTTCCATACATTGTTCAGTAGAGTTTCACAAAAGAAATATAATTCAGTATTTCCTCAGTATTTTTTTCATTAAAATTTGTTTCTCATTAATAGTTTAGATTTTTTCCCCTCATTTTCACAACTCGTTATGAATTTAGGATTGTTGCCAAACTTGGGAAAGCCTCTATCACATTTCCTTTATAAATAAACTGTTATATATAGACTCAGTTTGTAGTGCTACTATCAGTTTGTACAGCCACAGGAATCCTGACAAATTCCATTCACACCAATTCCCATCAAAAAAAAAAAAAAAAGAAAGAAAAGAAAAAGTCAGAGGTGTTTATAGTTATGTGTTCTTTCCATTTTCTAGTGTATTTCTGATAGAAGAGAACTTCTGTTTTGACTAGGTATCCATGGGAATTAAATCTTCCCATCACAATTTTATACGCTGATGATTAGAAGAACTTTCCAGAAAAGATTTTGGCCTCATAAATTTCAGGCTTTGTTTCTCCTTTATTATCTGGTGCTAGAACCTGTAAGATACCAGGAGCTCTGGGCCTGCACCTTGGTGTCATGACCCCAGCTGAAGTGGCATCATGGAAGTTAGAAATGTTCCTGGAAGCCATTCCCAGACCGTGACAGGTAGCAAATGCTTAATTATACATGAAATGACTCTGAACCATATTAATAGACTTAACACACTTGAACCAAATATGTCTCCAACTTCTCTTAGATGTTCCAAAAAAAAAAAAAAAAGTGGACCCTCTGTCACAAGAGAAGTCCAATGTAAAAAGAGAGGGTGGAGTAAAAAGGGACAGTGATCTTAACTGAGGTGCGATTAAAACATCTGACTTTTGCACAATTTAAAAAGATATTACTGGGGCCCCTGCTCTGGCCCTGGAAAAGCCCAAGACTCAAGCCTCATCAGCTTCATAATTAAACTAGTTTTGATGTCAGAGGTTGTAATGTTTCAAATATTTTAGAATTCCAGTGTCCCAGGGCTCAGACATTCATCATTTAAAAAAAAATTTTTCATCCTATTTATTCCCTCCTTTGATGATCTCCACCAAAATTTCTGGCTTTAAATGTATTTAAGATGCATATATTTAGATAATGTCCAGATTATTTCTCAAATTCTTTCTCTATTCCCTGGAGCTCGAGAATTAGATATCTAAGTGCTGGTTCAATCTCTTCCCTTGGAGTCTAAGAGACCTCTCTAACTCAACATCACCACAACTGAACTCCAGATCTTTCTCCTGAAATCTTCTCTGCTTACAAGTTTCTCAGCTAGTGACAACTTTATCTTTTCCATTGTTCATACCAAAAATGTTAGAGTCATCCTGCCTATCAGGAAATCTTGTGGCTTTAATTTCAAAATAAATATGAAACTTGATCATATTTTACCCACACCACTGCTACCACCTCGAGTATAGACATCATTACCTCTCACTGGCATCTCAGCCAAAGTCTCCTAAAATGCCTGACTGCTCCCACCTTTGGTGCTTTGTGGTGGTTTTCAACACAGTAGATTTCGCACTGTAAATCAGGTCTTGTCACTCCTCTGTTTAAATCCATTTCACTGTAGAAGCCTGGGAGGGCATGGAAACTCCTCCCTCTTCCCTGGTACCTCATCCCATGTAGCCTAGAAGGTGCTAGTGACCTGGCCTCACACTGTCTGTCTGATGTCCTGTCACACCCACTCCCCTTCCCAGAGCTGCAGCCACACTGGCTTCCAGGATGCTTGTCCAACACACCAGGTAGGACCTCAGGGCCCTTATCCCAGGACTTACTGGGCTTACTCCGTTTCCTCCTTCAACTGACTTCCTCACGTCTCACCTTCTCAACAAGGAAGGCCAGCTACCTACTAAATGCTACACTATGCCACCCACCCGCTCAGCATTTGCCATTACTTTTACCCTTCCTTACTTTACTGCACTCCTATGGCACTAGTCACTTGCTCATATACTATGTGTTTATGTGTTTACTATGAGTCATTTGATTGTTCACTGTCTTATCCCTGTCCTAGAATGCAAACAACACAAGGACAGAGATCTTTGTGTTTTTCAATAGTGTACCCCATGAAACTAGAAATTAATCTAATTCTAAAATACATAACAAAACAACCTGAAATAAAGAAAAGTTAAGCAGCTTGAGAGGATCACAAAAGTAGTAGAGGTGGCATTTAAACCTAGATAGCCTCCAGAGCCTGCACCCTTAGCTTGTGTGCAATATCACCTCCTACTGTCTGGAGGGGAAAGGCAGCCAAGGGAGTGGAGAATGGATATGGCCCTGGAGGCCGAATCACCAGCTTCCCTGCATGGTCACTCTAGATTGCTAAACTCTGAGTTAAAGCCCAGTCAAACAGATAAATGTTTTGATATTAAATGTTTTTAAATAAGCCACTTTACATATATGGAGTATGCTTATACTTTATAATCATTTTCCCAAGGAAATAGTGATGTTCTCCTCCTTTGTGGGGTCATTTTGTATACAGTAGTCACCCCTTATCCATGGTTTTGCTTTCTGGGGTTTCAGTTACCAGCAGTCAACTGCTACCAACTGTCCACAAATATTAAATTGAAAATTCCAGAAATAACAGCTCATACGTTTTAAATTATGTGTTGTTCTGAGTAGCATGATAAAATCTCTCACTATCCTACTCTGTACTGCCAGGGACATGAATCATCCCTTTGTCTTGTGTGTCCGTGTTATCTACACTACCCACCCATTACTATATAGGAAAAAACATAGCATATATAGGATTCGGTAGTATCTATAGTTCCAAGCATCCACTGGGGGGCTTGGAACATATCTCTGAGGATAAGAGGGAGACTCTGTATTCCATTGGCCCCTTTGCATGGCTTAACTACCTTTACCACAATAAATATGATACACTGAGCTATCATTCTCTACTATTGAGAGACATGAAAATCACAACCATATTCTCAAACACATTATTAGAATAACATATGGTTTCGGAGGTCAAGGTGGTTTGCATAATGAAAGAATTACCTGAACTCAGGTGGGGAATGCTACTGCTGAGGGAGATATTTTCCATCATCTGGGCATTGGAAGCTATTAAATATTTGTATAATGTGGCTCTTATATGTTTATTTAAGAAGTAAATTAAAATGTATAAAGATTACAACAATTCTTTGCCATGCCTTCATCATTTTTCAGCTTAGAGGCAGGCAACTACATATTAATGGGGGAGAATTTTGCAGATGTGCAGTAGGGCTGAGATGAGCTATTTCTTGAGCCTATAGCTTGGACAACCTACCTATCACTACACATGTGCATGCACACACACACACACACACACACACACACACGTGCAAGAGTATATTTCTGACTCTTTCTAAAACCTTATATCTAATCTTCCTGCCTTCAGCTTTCCTTTACCCTGTCGCTCTAACACACTGCCCTACTATTATCTTTCAAGAGTCTGAACTGGAGCATGCCAATTCTCTACTTAAAATTTTCCATAACACCCCTTTACCTACTATGGATCATCTTTTTCTTTGGCAACCAAATTCAATCTGGGCAGACTTGCTCTTTGCTCTGTCCTCCTCTGTTACATTCTATTCCCTAATCACAGTGCATTCCTGAAACACTCCATGCTTTGCCACACTTCTGTGTTTGGGGTTCCTGCTGAAACTCCCTTTCTTGTCTGCTCTGGCCCAGTTACACCTGACTTTTACACTGAACCAGCTTCAGTGTTACTATTTCTGGGTAGACTCTCTGGCCAATCTCAGACCCCACCACTTCCTGAAAACATGCAAACACACACACCCTTTAGAAATAATAGTTTTCTGTACTTTCACAGGACTTTGTTCATACAGGTAGTAAAATGTTTATTACAAATGAACAATTAAGAGATTTGTGAGTGTATCTCCCTAGTGAATGCTAAAGTGTTTGAGTGCAGACTTCAGAATCTTTTCATTTTTTGTGTGTTGCACCAGCCAACTTCCTGACCCACAGAAGCCATTTGATTCATTTAATTGTATTGAATTGCATCAAATGGAATTGGGTCACTGTGATGTGCCAGGTGTGATGTGCTTGCCATGCCACTGCTCGGGTTAAAGGAGAGGTGGGCACTCAGTCATACTAACCTGATGGTATTTTGAACCCTGAATTCAGATCTATATGCTACCACTTTCCAAAGGACATTAAGAAGATAATAAGGTTAGAAAAGTTTCAAATTCCTAGGGACAAAAAAGATAGCTTCACTGTGAAAAAGAGAAGACATGTTAGATGGTTTGAAGAAGTTGGATGCAATGCTGAGATGGGAAAAGGCAGAGAGAAGATAGGGATATTACAAATACGTATAATATGGAAAACTAATTAAATTGGCCGCATATCTAAAGATTTGTGGAAGCAGCTCTCGTGTGGAAGCATGAGAAAGCAATATCCAACTAATTGGTATCTTACTGTAAAAAATAAGTTTTACCATAACAGTTGCCTACAAAATAACAGAATTTCTCACAAAACTCTAAGTGCCCCATCTCTTTATATGGTCAACTTGAACTTGATAAAACACCATTCAGGAGTTGCAGAAAAAATTACCATGCAAAGTGAATTGGATGACACTAAAATCTTCAAATAAAGAGTAATATACAAAAAAATGGCAAGAGTAGGGATTTTTAGTACCTTTAAAGTTGTTTTGTTCTGTATTGTAGTTTTGCTGCTTTTAAAGTAGAGCGGGAAGTCTGCAGAGTTCTGGAGTTTAGAGAACTCTTCTTCAGAGGCTTGCATTTTGGTAATTTCTCTATGTTCTGCCATGATTTGGAAAGTCTCCAAATGTCTCCAAGAACTGGAAAATCCCCTTTGGTATTTGTGGAGGTGAGTTAGCAGGTCTCTGTGTGTCTAGATTCCTCATAATAAAGATCCAAATCTGAAAGTTGGTTTGGACACAGAAAATGTGAATGGAAAGTTCTCTAGGGTCCGTCTATTCATTCACTCAGTTAGTTCAAGAAACATTTATGGAGCCCAGTTTCTGCCAAGCACTGGCTGAGCACTGGGGTACTAGGGTGTGTGCTGCAGACCCTGGCACCTTCCTGCCTGAGCATAATGGCCAGGGAGCAATTGTTCCACAGCGAAGTGTTTGCTCACCATAGCCATTCTGGAACTGCACGGCTAGTTCTTATGCTACAAGAAGAAAGGGTTTGTGTTTCATTCATTTTTGTATCACCTACATTGCTTTTAACCAACTGTCATTAGAATGATGGTGGCACTATTTACACATGGAGGTGTTTAATAAATAGCTGATGAAAGAAGGAAGGAGAGAGGGAGAAAACAAGGTCTCTTGGTTATTACCTAAACCTCTAATCTGAACTGTAAAAAAAAAAAAAAAAAATCACCATCTTCCTTACATGTTATATTCAAAAGTTTGTTACTGCAAATTCTGGGAACACTGAAACCAAAACCAGTAGTAAGAAAAAAGAAAGTAAATAACAACAAAACAAAATAACCCCAAATCCCTGGCAAACCGCCTAAGCATGATTAGGCCATTAGAGCAGAGCACTCCCTGATGACATAACCCCTCAACTTGTCTTCTCTACATAGACCTTTTCCTTAAATGACTTCAGAAACACAGTCTCTTGGGTTTTGCATACCTAGAAGGCTTTAGGGATTAGATGAAGGGAAGCAGAATACATTTAACAGGACCATAATTATCTCTCTTTCCTTTATTCCCCCCTCCCCCATTCCTGTGGGGCTCTGGAAATGTCATTGTCCTTATTTAATGCAATGCAGTGAGTGTGGGATAAAGTCCCACCTGTGCCATGAAAATCCCTTAGCAGCTTGCAGCATTGGAGGATAGAGGATGGAAGGAAAGACTAAAAGACGTCTGTGGTATTGAGACAACAACTGCAACAACAAAACCCATGAGACGCTTCCAACAAGCACAGAAGGAGCAGCAAGGTGGGACTGATTCAGAAGGATTAGAGAAAGGCAGGAGACCTGGTGCTTTGCTCTTCTCATTACAACCTGAATCACCGGGCACTTGGTAGAGAAAGCTCACCCCTCAGACATACGCATCCACTGCAGATGAGAAACTAGCATTTTCTTTACCCTTGTGTTTGTTTTTCTGTCAGCCAACAATAGGGGGAGAAAAGAAGATTATTGAGATTAGATGATTTTTTTCTTACATATTTATTATCCTGTTCTGTCCCAATCATCTCAATATTCAAAAAGTAGACTTGGAGGCTAGCATAAAGAAAAGAACAGCCAAGCTTCTGAGGGCTGTTGAATTTTTAATCCTCTAACATTTTTCTCCCCCTTCTCTATTTGTTGTCTATTTTCAAAGCCCTAAAGTAAAGAGATTGTCTAAACCCCATTCTTTGGCAGCCATTCAAAAAGCTACGTCTTGTAACATGACTGGGGAAAACCAGGAGTTAATTTTTAGACAAAAATTTAGGAGTCAGTAATGATGTTTTTAAAAACCTCAATGTTTAGCATTGAGGTGAGATATTTAAGTAATAAAACTGATGGCTCAGTGATCAGAGCATCAACAGCTCTCTGCCGGCAAATCCTGGTGCTCTTTATTGCTGTGGTCCTGTTCCAGCCCCATAGCAGGAGATTGCTAATGATCTGGGCTTGGGATATACACCTGTGTCCCTCCAGGGTCGTGGTTCTCTTCTTTTAATCTGTTTCCTTCCCCAGCCTCAGAGTCTTCACCTGTGCTTTAGTGTGACAGGATTTGCTGCTTTCCCTCAACTTGCTTAAGGCTCTTGCCCTCTGTAGGGGAGAAGGCTTTAGGAGGGGGTCTGTGTCGTGCCAGCAAAGACTGCCCCTGTGCCATGACAGCTCCATCAGGAAGCCTCCTCTCTTCTCATCTGCTGCTCCCAATCTTTCTCCTGAGCACCAGAAATTACCTTGAGAAGAAGCCTGAAAAGTAAGTGCAAATTCTTCTTGAGTCAATTGCTATTAGGGCTCTATATTCTCGCACTAGCCTACTTTTAGCCTTCAGCAATTTGTTTAAAATTGTGACCTATTTCTCCTTACCAGGGTGCATGGTGTCCAGAAGCATCTCCTCCAGGTAAGCATGTGTTTGCATCCTACATCTTCATGGAGGCTGCTGTCTTGTCTTATATTTTGGGGTAGTTGGTTGCTCTGCAATCTCAGCTCTCTGATGGAATCAAGACAATTGCCAATTTGCAGATGGTCTGGTGTTTTGTTTTGTTTTTAGTTGGTAGTAAATGGGTTCATCAATCTTTTTCGCTTTCTACATTGTAAGTAGAAGACAGAAGTCAACTGATGTGTTTATTGAACTCAGTTTCAAGAGTTACATTTTAAAGGCATGCTTTCAAAATGCAGTTCATCCAGAGGAGAGAGATTAAGATTGTCCTGGAAGCCATGATAAAGATATTAAAAACATCTAAATTGAAGATGAACGGTCTAAGGGGAGAACTCTCTTCAAATATTTTCAGGGCAGTTCTTCTTAAGATACAGAATGTACGGTATAGTTTAGAGCACTTAACCATTAAAGAGGGTTTGCTATGGTTTGAATGTGTCCCCAAAGCTCATGTGTTGAAAACTTAATCCCCATTGCAATGATGTTGAGATATAGAAACTTTAAGAGGTGATTACATCATGAGGACTCTGCCTTCATAAATAGGTCAATGTCCTTAGTGAGGGAGCAAGTTAGTTACCACAGGCACAGGTTCTTGATAAAAGGGTGAGTTAGGCCCCCTTCCTTTCTCTTTCTCTCTGGTGCTGTCTTGCCCTTCCACCTTCTGCTATGAGATGACCCAGCAAGAAGCTACTCACCAGATGTGGCCCCTTGATTTTGGACTTCTACACTCCCAGACCCATGAGCCAAATAAATTCCTGTTCATTATAAATTACCCAGTTTGTGTTATTTTGTTATAGCCACACAGAACGGACTAAGATAAGGTCCTTTTTAGACCTGGTCCAAAAGGAGCATCATGAGTTATGGGTAGTTAGTGTTAGGGATAGTTTCTGGCCAGACTGGAATCTTTATCATGATGTACAGAAGTATACACTGAAATTGAAAATAAAGTAATAATGAGTTACCCCAGCAAAAGTAATATAGACATGTTGCCAAATAGTAACTTTAGTGATATTTTTAGGGCCCCAATTAAGAGATCCCAAAAGGCTAAAATCATTTGGTTTTGAGGACAGGAAAAGGAAGCATGCATGTTAGCTGAAGTAGGCCATGTGTGAATGTACACATAATGCTTTATGTATACATGTGAATGCATGCATAATGTGAGGTGAAGTACAGGTGGGGCACACGATTTTACACAGAAGAAAAACCAAGCATCCTTTATTCTGCAGTGCCCGTGTAAATCAGTGACTCCCAGTAAATCAGCTGGGGAAAAGGAGGCCATTTGGAGACAGGCCTCCAGGTGGAGAACTTCAGATGGTGGCAGAGAAGGGGTGCAGAGCACATCTTAGTGCTCTTAGTGACTTTTTTCTTAGTGACTGTGTTGTGTACCCACTCAAGGTTTCCCTGAAAAGAATGAAGTGATTCGCTGACATCTCTGTTTTCTATATGGAAATCACAGAGCCAGAAGCATAAATAGCATGTGGGATATCATACCTAGTCTTTGTCTCAGATGTATTCTATGTTGCAAAATGAATTAATGAAAAAGCCTTTCCTTTCATAAAGAGGACACTTTGAGCCAAATCAATCTATACACAAAGGAACCTATGGCACAGGTGTGAAGTAAGCAACCCTTAGCACCAGGCTGTCTCATCTCCTGTGATTGCACCTTCCGTTTCCTTTTCTACATGTTCTCCCTTTTTCCTTCCTCTCCTCCATCATCTTCCTCTTCTTGGTAAAGGGCCAACCCTAAGGTGTTATGTGGCTCCTGGCAATTCAATATCTATCATTTTGGAGTAATGTTGGGCTTACAAGCAAATATTGATTTGGCAGATGTATTAGAGCTGAGAGAGGGTAAGTGACAGATCTTCTAGTGCAAAAGATCATACCTTTTCAAAGCATAAGATTGATTCTGCTTAAAACATGGATTTTAAAGTCTCTTGTGTTACATACTGTTTCAAGGCATAAAAATCAGCTGGGGTTAGCTAATGTGTACATTGTCCAGGCCTCTTGCTTCTCCTCCTGCTACTCTTATTTTCTGCATTTTGAGCATTTCTCTGCTCTTCACATTTCCCCTAGGAGGCTCCCCAGAATGTCCCCAAAATTGAAGCAGGGGAATGAAAATGAAAATTGATCCAGTTTGCTACTTTTAGATCCTCTGGTAAGAATTTGACAGGAAAAGAATTCGAAGCTACCAATCAAAATCAGGTTATTGTAGTATAAGTAACACCAGTGGATTTTGTTTCTTATTTCCAAAACTTTCTTGAAAATGAATTGGTCTTTATGCCCAAATTTTTCAGAAATAATATTTTTAAATTATTTTAAATCAACCTAGCTTTGAATTATAATTTTTTTATCATTAATTCATTTAAGAAATATTTGTTGATTACCTAACATATGCCAAATACTACATTAAATTCTGGGACACATAGAAAAACAGTAAAATTCAGTCTATGTTCTCATCTGGGCTCACTGTGCAAGGTAGTATGGAAATATTTTGCAGTGAGCCGAGATCGCACCACTGCACTCGAGCCTGGGCGACAGAGCGAGACTCCGTCTCAAAAAAAAAAAAAAAAAAAAGCTTAAAATATGATTCCTGCCTTCAAGAGGAAGTAGACTAGGAAAAGAGAGAGCCTATATTGGAAAGAGAAAATAAGGGAGCTCTGGTCAAGAGCTAGAAATTATATAACATCTTAGAAGTCCAGGAGATTGAGGAGACTGAGTTAAACCTTATAGGATAAAAGAATATAGACAAGAGCAGAGGCAGAGTAAAGGTTATTCTAGTGGATATGACAGCATATTTCTAGTAAGTGCTGTGAACACACACACACAAATGGAGGAAACTAAACTAGTATTGAGTATCTCTGATGTGATCAACACAAATCCAAATGATACAGGGTATACATACATAAGTAATATGAGGGCATAGTCATTTTCATCAAGGGCTTACCACTGTTGGCATTCCAAGAATAATATACATGAAACAATTAGAAAATAATTACATAATAGCAAGGGATTGGCTGCTACAGTATGGCCAGTTCTAATGTGCTATAGGAATTACTGAGAGAGGGAGGCCAAGAAGGCTGGAGAAATTATAGAGGACTTCATAGAAGAGGTGAGACTTTAACAGGCACAGAAGGCATGGAGTAAAAGCATTTTGTGTAAAGTCAAGAGCAGCAAATATATACCAAGGAAGAGCAGTGTAAAATGACTCTGGGGCATTAGGCTGAGGACAGGCTATGGATGGCTTTGTGTGCCAGAAAAGATCTGATGACACTGGGAAGATAGAACCTTTGAAAAGTGTTTATTGGTCTAATTAATTGGATGGAAGGGAGATTTTAGAATAACTTCCTCCTGTAAGTAGGACCACTGAAGAACCAGACAGACTCAAAGGATTGAATCATCAAGGCCCCTGAGCTATAGGAATTACAAGGTTAGAATGATAGCAGAGGAGAAATACTTGTGGTCTAAAAGTGAGCAGTTGAAGTTTTGTGTGCCATGGAAATCATCCTATTCAGGGTCATTTCTGTCACTAACCATTAGAGTCAGTTATTGCCTGATTGAACTAAGATATATTCTCCCTCTTTAGCTTGCAAATTCCAGCTAGCAGACTCCTTTGCTGACTAGTTTCCATGGGTTTTAGACAATGTGAGACATAGGTAGAGAACTGGCAGGAGGGAAAGGGAAAAGGGGAGAAACCAAGTTGTGTCTCATTCTTAGCTCTACAGCAGAAGAAGGGAATTGCGTGCTATCTATATCTAAATCTATCTATATATCTATATCTATATCTATATCTATATCTGTGTCACAAAATATCAAGTCAAGGAATTGTGTTTCTCTACCAGTATCGCTGCCGTCTTTGGTTTCTTTGGGTTCCCAGCTCCTGCAGGAAACCCAAACTGTGATTCGACATCTCCTCAGGTGGCTCTGGCTTCTTCTGGGTTCTGGAAACAACATTTCTCTCCTTTGGGTGATAGCAATCTCTTGTTGTGACTACTGCCTGGGTTAATTAATAAGCCGCTGTTTGCCTTCTCAGCTGTTTTTTACACCAGTGTGACCAAGTCCATACATGAATTTCCTGCTGTTTAACATACACAGAGGTATTCTTATTTTCTGGAGTCTGACTGATATCCTATGTCACTGTAGTTAAATAATTTAAAAATATTTCTGGCTCTGGTTTTTATATCATTAAAACTGAAGGCATTAACTAGTTGATTTGCAATGCTTTTATAAATAACTGAGAAACTCAGAATGTAAGATGTCTATAAACTCAGAATATAAGATGTGTCTAATACTATCTCATTTTAGTTTATCATTTTGTAACTTATTCATATAAAACCTTCTCATATGGTATGCGATGCTCTTTTGAAAATTTGCTAAATTCAAGTTTTAAGAGAATTATCCAGTGCTTATAGAACCTAAATTTTTATGATTGACCCAATATAACTCAGTCCTTTTAAGGATCCAGACTGATACTCTGCTTGGAGATGCATGGAGAGTAAAGGAAGGGATAGAAGGGAGATTTCTCATGAGAAAGCCCAAAAGAGATCACAAGAAATGGAAATGCATTTAGCCCCAGAGACTGAGCATTGGGAGTAAAGAGGTCAACAAGCACAAAGAAAGAGAGGCGTCCTTTTACTTAGCACTTGCTAACACCCGCAGTGTCACATCCTTTATTTGAATTTCCATCTCTTTGGTGACCAAGACCACCCCATTACCTTGTAAGTATCTACTTCAATCCAAGACAGGCAATTTAGAATTTTTGTAATTTTCGAAGGATTAGCAGTGGAGTAGGCCTTGTTTGTTCCCAATTGAATGCTCAATTTTAGGGCCATAATTGGAAAGATTTCCAGTAATTTGTGGCAGTTGCATTTAGTAAAAGGGATGGAGGTGATTTTTGTTACTTTATTCTTTTGTTAGGCCTTTATAACCCACATTTGGCAGGGGTATGAGATAATCTCTGACAGTATGCATCTTGAGTAAGGTTGTTTTTTTTTTTGTTTTTTTTTGTTTTTTTTTTTTATGTGATACAACTGCAGAGGAGGTTGAAAGTAGCCTGTCCTGCTACCTATTTATCCTCTTGGAATGATCAGTCATTACTACTATTTATACTATAAGACAGAGACATTTTCCTGTCAATGATGAGTCAGTAAAAGTTAAATTTTGCTCAAAATGAACCAGTACATGTATTTTTAAAGTCTGTGATTGAGTTAGGAAATAGTTGATGATTGGATCTGCTAAATCACCAAAAAATGATGTCTTAAATGATTAATTTTTCCAAATATTGGGGTGTGCATGGTACAGATACTTGCAAAGCCACAGCTTTTGCTTTCCATGGTTAAGATTAGAGACAGACATTTTGACTCCCACTTACAAAACAAAATAGGATAGAATTCTCAAAATCTACTAGATGATAATCAAACAAAGCCACATATGTATCTATCTGCATAGACCTTTGCATTATACAAATGGCCATCAAAAGTCTAGCTCAATGCAATTAAAAATTAATCTACTTTAACATGCAAATCAACTTTGATGTGACTAATATTCTAGGTTCTTCAGGAGATTCAAATAAAAAAGTGATTTTTTTAATTTAATAAACATTTTTTAAAAGTTTCTCCTGCTTCTTTCACTAAGTGTGCAGACCAACTGTTGATAGAAAAGTAACCAAAAAAAAAAAAGCTTAAAACAATTTTACAGCAGTTTTAGAAATAAACCATTAATTTTTTTTTTTTTTTTTTTTTGGAGACAGGGTCTTGGTATGTTGCCTAGGCTGGAGTGCAGTGGTACTATCATGGCTCACCGCAGCCTCAACATCCTGGGTTCAGGTGATTCTCCCACTTCAGCCTCCTGAGTAGCTGGGACCACAGCCACACATTACCACACCTGGCTAGTTTTTATAACTTTTGTAGAGATGGGGTTTCGCCATCTTTTCCAGGCTGGTCTCGAACTCCTGGGCTCAAGCAATCTGCCCACCTCAGCTGAATTTTGAAGGAAATACAAAACAAAGACACCATCTAATAACTTCTTATAGACACTATCTTTCTAAGTCAAAGGCACTAGAATCATGATGCCTAAATTTTTGCCATGGCTGTGCTATTATGTGGTAATAATTAATCTGACTTTTGTTTATCTATAAAATGTAAGAGTTGGATGAGGGTGGTGAAATTCCTGGTATGTCAAGTTACCAAAATCCTTCAGAATTGTGCAGCTAAATTTTGATGAGTATGTGCATTTTCTTTTAATACAAATAATGGAAATTTGAGCTGGACAGGACAAGTGACCCAGCACAAAGTGGTACACGAAGTACTGTGAGTAAAAGGCATGGTTTAATGTGAAGCCCAAGATGGAATCTGTGTTTACTGAAACATGCGACTACTTTGCCTTTTTAATGTTTCAAATTGCATGCTCAGGGTGGCAAACAACCTGATATAAATAGCTAACCAGTGATAAAGAGTGACCAATAAATACTACAACTGTTGAAGATTTATTTCATTACTTTTTTCCAAACCTGATTTTTAAAATTTCTGTTCACTTACCAATCCTTTCAAGCATATTTTCACAAATTCTAGAATTTCACCAGCATAAAATGCCTTATAACCACTTTCCTAGGGGAATAGGAAGGTCTCTCTTAGTTTTTAAATTTGATGACAATATCTGAATCAAATACAGATAAAATTTTCAACTTCTGCTCAGGATGCAAAAGAGTGCAAGAAAGGATTGTTCCCATCCTAACAATGAGAAAGAGCTGAATAATCTCCTAAATCATGACTTTTTTAAAAAGCCATCATTATTGAAATTGCAAAGCATAAATTCCAAAGAGTAATATGCCCCTATAAAGATAAATGAGATAAAAGTCTTTTCTTTTTTCACCTGTGGCAGGGCAAATAAAGGAGATAGTTTTTATAAAATTATTTAAGTAGAAATTAATTAACATTTTTGTGAACTTTAAATGCTGAGACTAGGCTAGTGTATCAATTTAGAAATAACTCTGAGTTCCAGATACAAGAGAAATTTGCATTCATTTGTAAGTTCTTAGCTAGATTCTCTAGCAGGTGCTCATGAGACAGATTTGGAGCAGACAAGGAAACTGGAGATAAGGTGCAGGTGGCCCATGTGTGCAGTCATTGATTGACTACAGCTGGGGAACAGATACACACTACCTCCTGCTTCCCTGAACACATCTCTCATAGGAAAAAATGTCTTCACCAATGAAGGAGGGAGATCAGACCCTGCAGCTCTGGACTAAGGAAAAGATCTACTGTTTTTGCATAAAGGGTAAAGGTACAGCCTCTGGGAGAAAGGAAAATCTCTCCAAGCCAAGTCTTGCACTCTTACAAAATAGAAGCCTCTATACAGAGAAAGATGGAAAATATTTATTAGCCCAAGAGGTGCCAGAGATACTAAGAAATATTGAGCAGAGCTTGGTGGCCATGGGAGGAGGGAGGGGGTCAAGAAATACTAACACTGGGAAGTTTCCACTCCCTGAAGCCCAGGCAGAGAATCTTTGCCTAAAACTTAGGCTTGACATGAGAATTTCCCCCTATGCTCACAATGAACCTAGGCCTCAGTAGCTATCGACAGAAGTATAAAACTAGGAAAGGAAAAGAGCATAGAGAGAGACCTTCTTTAATAACACATGTATTCAGAGACTGCTGAAACTGAGAGTGGAGGAGGAATGCTTACATACAATCTTCTGACCCCCAAGACCTCCCATTAAGAAGTTGTTCACTGCAAGAGGAATTTGAAAACTGTGGTGATCTGAAAGTAAGGATAGTAGCAATAAAACCTAAATTTATCTCAACTACTGGCTTAATTGACTCAACCCCCAAAACTCATTAGCTGGTTAGGCCAGAGAGAAGATGTGTTCATCTTCAGAAAAAAAACATATTTACCTTAGTTTTTAGTTTTCTTCTGCTCATGATGTTAAGCAATCCATCAGGATTGTGACACACATATAAAAGGAAAAAAGGAGTAACACAAGGTGAGGCAATAAATAATATCAGACTCACAGGTGACTTAGATGGTAGAACTGATATAAACTTTAGAATTGCTTTGAATACTATGTGAAATCATATCATCTAGTGGGAAAATTGGATGACATATTTACACAAATAGGGAATATCAGAAAAGAAATGAAAGCTAAAAGAAATAGTAAAGTGGGAGTTTTAGAATAATTTTGATATTGAACACAACGAAAATTTTAACAGACTTAGCACACTGAATAGACCATAAAAACAGATAACTTGAATATTGGGCTACATAGATTATCCAAACTGTGACAAAGAGAAAAAAAGACAAAAAATTAAAACAAGAACAAAGCAATGAGAGCTCTCGGACAATATCAAATAATTGGATATACATGTAATTGGAGTTTGAAAAGGAAAAGACAGAACCAAAGGAGCAGAAGAAACATTTAAAGATATAATAGATGAAATTTTCCAAAATTAATTAAAGCTAGACCACCATTTGTAGAAACTTAGGGAAAACACAAGTCAGATGTGCACACATGTGCACATATACACACACATACACACAGTCCTAGAGTTATTATATTCAAACTGATAAAACCAAACTTAAAGAAAAGTCTTGAAGGTGGCCAGAGGGGAAAAATAAAACATTAAAGAGAAGCAATGTAAGAATGACAACTGATTTTTCATCTGAAACTGTGGTAGCCAGAAGCTAACAGAGTAAAATCTTTAAAGTGCTAAAAGAAAAAAAAATAAATCTGTCAATCTAGAATTCTATAACCATTGAAAATATTTTTCAATAGTTAATGCAAATAAAAGAGACTTTCTCAGACCAACAAAATCTAAGAGATTTTATTGCCAATATACTGCACTAAAAGAAGTGTTAGAAGAGAGTGTTCTTCAGAAACAGACTATAATATCACATGGAAATTTGAATCTACACAAATAAACAGCACAGGAAAATGGTAGAAATGAGAATTTTTATTTTTAATCTTTTCAAAAGTTAACTGTTTAAAGCAGAAATGTGTAACAATGTGTTATGTGGTTAACATGTTTAAGTAAAATGTATGAATTCAATAGCACAAAATATGAAAGTGTACTGCTTTAATATTTTCATATACCTGAAGTTGTATAGTGTTAATTGAAGATAGACTGTGATAAATTTAAAATGTGTAATGTAAACCTTAGAACAAGTACAAAATTATGCTTTCAAAAGTAAAATTGTAAATAAACTCAAACCAAAAGAAGGCAGGGAAAGAGGGTAAGGGAGACATATAGGGCAATGAAAAAGCAACTAGCAAGAGCAAAGATTTAGATCCAAATGTATTAACTGTAAATAGTCAACCCCCACCAAAAAGGCAAAGATTGTCGGATTAGGCAGAAATGTAAGATCCCATTCTATACTATAGACAAAACATTTTTTAATATAAAGATATAACTTCGTTAACAGAAAATGATAGAAATAAGATTTGCTTTGTAAACACTACAAAAAAAGTGGAAGTATCTATTAATATTACACAAGGTAGCCTTAGAATAAGCACTATTATTGAAAATAAAGAGGAATAATATAAATAATATATCCTATGGATAAATAATTTAAAATTATATCACAAAGACATCATTGTCATAAATATGTATGGACCCAACAAAAATGCTTCAAAATACTTCAAAATACATAAGAAAAAAGCAACTGAAAAAATAAATTGAGAAATATATAAATATAGTTGGGAATTTCAATTACTCAGTGACTGATGGAACAAGTCAACAGAAAATCACTAAGAACATAAAAGAGCTGAACAATATTATGGAACAATTTTGATAGTTGATATTTAAAAGACACTTCACACAACAATGGCAGAATGCACATTCTTTTCAAATACACAGGACACATTCACCAAAATAGACTATTTTCTGAGTTATAATTCAAATCTCACCAACTGAAATGTAAATTTACATAAATGGTGTTTTTTTTCAAAAAATGAAGTTAAAGTAGAAATAAGTAACAGAAAGATACTTGTAAAGTCTCCAAATATTTGAAAATTAAGCATTACACTTCTACCTAGCCCATGGGTCAAAACAGAAATAAAATGTTGAATTGACTCTATGTAAAATACAACATACCAAAATTTGTGGAATGTCGTTTAAGCAATGCTTAGAGGAAAATTTTTATGTGTATTCAGAAATCTAGGAAAGTCTAAAATCAATAATGGAAGGTAATATCCTAAGAAACTAAAAAAAAGTAAGGTAAATTCAAGGAAAACAGAGAGAAAGAAAGAAATATATTACCAGAAATCAATGAACTTTTAAACAGAATAAAAAGTTTTTTATTTTAAATTTATTAAACCAAAACCTGGTTCTTTAAAAAGAATTGATGAAATTGATGAACCTTTAGCCAAACTGATCATGAAAAAAAGAGATACAAAAATTACCAATATATGTAATAAAAGCAGAAACATTACACATTGTACAGATTAGTAAGTATATATTAAAGGGATTTTGTGGAACAATTTATGCCAATGAATAAAATAAATATCATAACATAGATGAAAGTCAAATTACTTGAAAGACACAAATTACCAAAGCTCAATCATAAAGAAGTAAATGGCCGGGTGCAGTGGCTTACGCCTGTGATCTCAGCACTTTGGGAGGCCGAGGCAGGTGAATACCTGAGGTCAGGAGTTCGAGACCAGCCTGGCTAACATGGTGAAACCCCGTTTCTACTAAAAATACAAAAATTTAGCCAGGCGTGGTGGCACGCACCTGTAATTCCAGCTTCTCAGAAGGCTGAGTCAGGAGAATCACTTGAACCCAGGAGGCAGAGGTTGCAGTGAGCTGAGATCACACCATTGCACTCCAGCTTTGGCAACAAGAGTGAAACTCTGTCTCAAAAAAAAAAAAAAAATGTAACCTGAATCACTCTGTATTTATTACAAAAGTATAGTTAAAACTCATCCCCAAAAACAGACAAACAAGCAAAAAAAAAAAAAAAAAAAAAAAAAAGTCGAGGCACAAATGGCTGCATAGGAAAATGCTAACAAACTTTTCGGAGAAAAGTCACACCATTTCTATACAAATTCTTCTGAAAGAGAAGGAAACATTCTTCAACTCTATATTGATGCTAGCATTAACTTGCTGCCAAACAGTAAAAAATGTTACAAGAAAAGAAGTATACAGACCAACATCCTTCATGAGCCTATTTGCAAAGATCCTTTAAAAAATATTACCAATAAAATCCAGCAATATATAAAAAGATAATACACCTTGACCACATGGTGTTTATATACCAGGAATGCAAAATTGGTTCAAATTTTGAAAATCTGTCAATGAATTTCACCTATATCAACAAAATAAACAAGAAAAAAGGTGATCATCTTAATAGATGCATTTTAAAAATTGACAAAATTCAATAACACTTTACAACAAAACCTCTCAGCAACATACAAATAGAAAAGAACTTCTTCATTTTCTTAAAGGATATCTTAAATGCCATATATGGCTAACATTCTATTATACAATAAAAGGCTGAATGCTTTCCCTTTAAGACTGGGAACTAGGTAATGGTTCCTGCTATCTACACTTATATCCAACATTTGCTTTAGGTTCTAGCTAGTATGATAGGGCACCAAAAAAAAAAAAAAAAAAAAAAAAGTCATGTGGAACAGCCAGAACCCTCATATATTGTGGTGCAAGTACAAAATAGCCACTTTAGAAAATGGTTCAGTAGTTCAGTATGAATTTAATAAAGGCCAGGCAAAGTGGCTCCTACCTGTAATGCCAACACTTTGGGAGGCTGAGGCAGGAGGACTGCTTGAGCCCTGGAGTTTAAGACCAGCCTGGGCAACATAAGACCCCATATCTACAAAAAAAAAAAAATTAAAAATTAGCTTGGCATGATGGGCTGTGCTTGGAGTCCCAACTACTAAAGAGGGTGAGGCAAGAGGATCGCTTGAGCCCAGAAGTTCAAGGCTGCAGGGAGCTATGATTGCATCACTGTACTCCAGCCTGGGCAATAGAATGAGACCCCCATCTCTTAAAAAGAAAAAAAAAGAATTTAATTATATACTCATAATCCAGCAATCCTACTCCTAGGTATTTAAGAAAAATGAAAAGTTGTATGCACATAATACCTATACATGAATGTCTGCAGCAGCTTTATCTATTGATACATAATATATATTTGTTTATATTATACATAATTATATATAATATAGTATAATTTATATTATTTATATAATATGTTGTGTACAATATGAATAAATATATATATTATGTATAAAGCTGTGTATTATCTTTATAGATATGTAAAAAGCTGTAATATATCTTTATAGATAAAGCTTTATATATATTATATATTAAGATATGTATAAAGGTGTAATATATCTTTATCTATAGATAAAGCTTTATAGATACATTATATTTATTTACATATTATATATCTTATATATATATATAGAATAAATATAGAAGCCCAAACCAGAAGCAACTCAATTGTATTACAGCCATACAATGGATTAAAAAGGAAAAAAAGGAGTGAACTACTTACATATTTAACCTCATGGATTAATCTCAAATGTAGCCTGCTGAGTGATAAAAGCCAGAAACAAAAGGCACTTATTACAGAATTCCTTTTCCATGACAGTCCTACAAAGACAATTTCATAAGGATGAATCAGTTGTTGCCAAGGTCTGGGGATAGGGTAAGAGGATTGTCTACAAAGAAGCAGGAAGAAAATTTTTGGAAGTTGAAACATTTTACATCTTGATTTTGGTGGCTATCTCAATGCTGAATAAATGTGTGAAAACTCATTCTACTCTACACCGAAAATTGAAGAATTTTATAGTATTAAATTATTCTTCAATAAACCTGACTTTAAGAATATATATTATGGACCATTTTAATGAAAATGGCCATCCAAGGTAAAATATGGCTGTAATTAAAGTATGCATAAATCATTCCGTATATACTCTGGGTAAAATTCAATAACTATCTATTGAACTTGATTTGATAACCTGGTGGAGGGGTGGGCAGGGGGGAAGACAATAGCATTCTAGAGCCTCTGCCCAGGTACATTATCAACGATGAAGGGTGCCTTGGTTATTTATTGAGCATTAAATGATTGAAAGGTAAAAAGTGATTCTGAGGCTTTGTGATTACAGTGGTAAATTGAACACGTGTGCTAACCTTTGTTCTCCTTCAAAACCCTAGTAACGTGGTATTGAGTCGTGAATTTTATTTTTTCATTTTATTTATTTATTTAAAAAATCAAAAAGGAGAAACCCACCAAGACCAAGAAAATTATAATGGATAATAACAACATACTATAAAAACTGGAAGGCAGATGACAAATTGTAACAGAGAACAGACTTTAGGAGCAGAAAACTAAGTGAATTTGGCAGAAACCCTAGAAGATGAAGGCAGAAAGGTTCAGGTGGCACAGGTACCTCTGACCGTGGTAAAGAAGAGGAAAAGCAAAACAGAAGGATGGGTGGAAAGTCTGCATAAGAAGTGGTTTAGTTTTCAAATCTCCTCTCTGATGCCCCACAGATGGGCACATGATTTTATCCAACATAGCAGAAGATTGAACATTTATTCCTTAGATAGTGTGAACCAGAGGACTGCTGAATATTAGGCACGGATAACATCCTGAAAATAGTGCATGCATGCTCATCTTCCAGAATGCAAGCAGCCAGGATTATTTCCTTTCATAAGGGGCAGTGCTCACTTTGTTCAAGAGCAACATTGGTTGTTTGAATTGACATAAAGCAGACAGCTTTAAGAAGGTACACAGAAAAGAAGGCAACAATATAGCAGAACAGCACTCTAGGGTGGTCCCACAACTCTTAGGCATGGCTTCAAAATTTCTTAGCCACTGCAGTCTTGGGAAATGTCTGGTCACAAAAAGACAAACTTGGGTAAGGCAAGGCCATCACATCACGGGAAAACCATCAGTTCTTGGGTCTCTTCAGTTGTTACATCTTATTAAGCAATAGCTCCTTCAGGGCTACATGAGCAGTGCTCAGCTTCTTGTTCAGCTGTAACTCATGATTCATTACCAGTTGTTACTCATTATAGTCCCAACAATGAGGCACTTGTGCTTGGTTTGATTCATAGTTGCCTCAGCTGAATTCTCACCTATCCTGGGTAGAGTACATTGATAAATCCTTTGAGTTAGTGTAACAAAAGGGATTCAATCTAAGCTCAAATCCTCAGTCATCCCTGAAGCTAGAAGAAGGGTCACAAACCAATATCGTGAGACTGTTCTCCAAGGGTCATGCTTCTACATGTTTTGTCAGTAGATATATAGAGTACCCCTCAGTCCAGATTATTGTTTCAAGGATGTTTAATAGTCTTTGAAGCAAGGGATAGTGTCTCTCTCTTAAGGCAAACATTCCTTTTTTTTTTTTTTTTTTTTTTTTTTTTGAGATGGAGTTTCGCTCTTGTTGCCCAGGCTGGAGTGCAATGGTGCAATTTCTGCTCACTGCAACATCTGTTTCCCGGGTTCAAGTGATTTTCCTGCCTCAGCCTCCAGAGTATCTGGGATTACAGGCATGCACCACCATACCTAGCTAATTTTGTATTTTTAGTAGAGATGGGGTTTCACCATGTTGGTGAGGCTGGTCTTGAACTCCTGACCTCAGGTGATCTGCCCACCTCGTGCCTGTAATTCCAGGCATTCTTTTTATCCAGTACAACAAACAAAACGTCTGCCTCTAGAGCAAAGGGTAGGCAAGCTTACCACATGCTATACAAGATTCTGGATTCTCTAAACTCAGACTAACTCTGTATTACTCTGGATTCTCTAAACTCAGACTAAACTCTAAACCCCTGTAACTCCACTCATAGTGTATTCAAGCATCCATTTGATATAACCTCAATAACACTCAAAACTTCACTCTGTTTGGTGCTCAAACCTCAGAAACCATGCACCATAATCCGTTTGTTGTTATCTAGTGGTGACAGTACAAGATCATTAAGCCAAATATTCATTTGCTACTATTCTGAAATATTCATTCTGACACTTTTCTCCTCTGATTCTTCCTGCCACTCCTGGTATCATTCATTTGAGCTTTTAGGACCCATATTCAACTTTAAACAGATTCCTCCACTCTTCAAATTCCTTGTCTTAACATACCTGTCTTTTTTTCATAGACCCTACTTCCCTTTTAGTATTCTGCAAAGATGACACTTCATGTTCTTACATCATATGTACTTTGAGTTTTGGGGATGGTCTTAGAATTTTGTAGCTACTTTCAGACCATAACTTTTCTAGAGCCATGCAATAATTTACTCCTCCTTTGTAATGTATGCCCCCCAGATATAGCATTGATTATCTGACTACCCGTTTGTCATTTGAAAGCCCCTTAGTTTAAAGCATTGAGAATTTTTATTTGGGACCAGTTTTTCCTTTCATCCTCATCCCTGTTAGCATCAATGGCAGCATTAATACTCACATCACTCATGTAAACCCACCCAATAGCCTGACCTTACTCATTTGAGAACTTCCATCTATGCTATAGGTTGGTAGCTACTTCCATGGTCCAGTCCCATCTTGAACCTATCCCTGGAAAAATGCCACACATGTGACATCATCTAAAAACATAATTACAATGTCTGGTGACAAAATTCTCCAGGGTTTTTCCTCTTTTATTTCTACTTCAATATACACAGACTTTGCTGAGACCTCCCTTCCTATCCTCTATTTTCTTCCAGTTTCATTGTTCTCTCATGGTGTTACTTTCTTCCTCTTCCAGTATATCCTCATGATGCTTCAAATTACTGTTCAGATAGCATCTTCAGTGTCCTCTGGACTACTAGACACAAGAGACTTTTTCCTCCTTTTGCCTTATAACATGCTACTATTATAGTCATGGTAGCGTTTCACCGTTTTTACATGTTCCTTTGTCTCCTATAGGAATGGAAGCATCATGAGGGTTAGGGTTCGTCCAGTTTGGCTATGCACACATATCCTCAGCACCTGGAACAGTTAAGAGTCCATATTAATGACTCAAGAAATACTTAGTAATCAAACCAATGAAGCAAATTACAGAATGAAAGACCTTGGTTTATTCCAATAATTACTAGTCTGCAGACAGAGGTTCCAGAATGAGTTTGATATGACTCAGAGAGTGATTCCTTCAGGATATAGATGATCCTCACAGAGAATTATAAAGAGAAAGTGATCAGCTCTTAATTCAATATATCAATCACTAGCAAGTGATTTTTTTTTTTTGTCCTTGGCTTGCTCTTTGAGAAAATCGAAGCAGTTAATTGAAGGTAAGAGGCATGATGAATTTCACCTGTCAGATTAGACACTTCAGTCTAGTTGTAAATTTATTGGCTAAAGTTTTTAGCCATACCACTGAACCTGAAAATGTTTTTCTCCCCGATACCATAATATTCCAAACTTGGAAAAAATAAACAAAACACGCTTTTTTTTTTCTCAAATGGCATGTAAACCCTTTTTAAATTTTGACCCCAAATGCATATTCTTTACCAGTGGGTCAAGAATTAGAGAGGTGGGAGAAAGAGAGCTGGAAGTGAAATCAGAAGTTTTATCCCTTTCACTTTGTGTTGCTTTGGGCAAGTCTCTTTACCTCTCTCAATGTCAGTTGCCTAAATTATAAATAAAGACAAATTTTAACATGGATTATAAATATCAGAAGATAACATGAGGCAAGAAATTTATAAACTGTAAACAAGTCATACAAAGATCAAGTACATTTGTGATTTAGCATTCAGTTAGCATTTCATAAGGGGGAAAAACAATGTATCACTGTAATATACTTGAATTACTGTGATGTTACAGGAGACTCAGAAATGTTGACCTCTGTTGTCACAATAGATACAAATAGACATCTGCTAATTCAGATGTGGATTCCAAAAGATATATTCAAGGAAATAACAGCTTGTTTTCTCCCCTGAAATGTGTAAATTCCCTTCTATTTCATATTCTTCAAACCTTGCTATTATATTTGATTGTGTTGAATATTTCTATTTATTTTCTTTCCTTTTTTGTTCCAATGGATACATAAATGTTTTTTGGAAATCTAAACATTGTAACAGAAGTACAAATACATTGTTAATACCTTCTTACTCCTTGTCCCTATATGTATATGACTAAAACTTTAAAAAGTTAAAGACATTTAAATATTTAAATTCTACAGTTGATACGATTGATTTTAAAGAAAATTTATAATTTGTGGATAAAGTGACCAACAAGTGATGGTTGAAGTAGTGTGAAATTATGCTGAATCTAGAAGGATGAGTAAGAACCAGTTGTGATGTAGACTCTGAGTATTAGTCTTAGTTTTGTTTTGTTTTGTTTTGTTTTTGTAAAATTTGGATCACAGGATCGCTTTTAGTCTTCCAACTCGTATTTTTTCTATGAATATCTTGTCTGGGAGAAAAAAAAAATAAGAGATATTTCTGTGAGTGAAACAAAGGAAAAAAAAATCAAAGATGAGGTGGTGGGATTATACTTTCCATTATGGGGAATATCTGGCTAAACTGAGGTGTTCTGTGCAGGCACTGTGTGCTATGTGTTTCATATAACATGGTAGTTGACTATACCAATCCATTTTCCCCTTCTTCTTCATTAACAGAATTCTTGTTTTGCTGAGGGTAGCCATGTGCCCAGTTAAAACACCCCTCTCCTCAGACTCTCTTGAGGCCAGAAGTGGCCAAATATCCTGGTGTGGCTAATAAAATATGAGTGGAAGTTACTAGGTTAGGCTTCCCAGGAAACGTTTAAAAAGATGGAGTCAGCAGGTATGCACCTTCATCAGTCCCTCTCTGTGATGTTTTGCTCTCCCCTTAATTTGATGAAAGCAGTAAATCAGGCCTGAGGTGAGACAACCATCTTGGCATCATGAGGACAGAAGTCAACAAGAACGGTCGGGCAAAACCCAGAAGGTACCTGAGGAAGGTAACATCCTGAATTATCTTACCAGCCCACACTGCCTATCTCCATATGAGAGAAGGAAAAAAAAAAGCTTGTATGTTTGAAGCTACTGTACTAGGGTTTTCTGTTGGTTGCAATTAACCATAATACTAACTAGAACACATATTTTACATCATTTAATAGTAGCAAAAAGTATGCCTTAAAGAGATTTCAAAGAACTTTTTTTATTATACTTTAAGTTCTAGGATACATGTGCAGAACATGCAGGTTTGTTACATAGGTATACACATGCCATGGTGGTTTGCTGCACCCATCAACCCGTCATCTACATTTACATATTTCTCCTAACGCAATCCCTCCCCTAGTTCCCCACCCCACGACCGGCCCCGGTGTGTGATGTTCCCCTCCCTGTGTCCATATGTTCTCATTGTTCAACTCCCACTTGTGAGTGAGAACATGCGGTGTTTGGTTTCCTGTTCCTGTGTTAGTTTGCTAAGAATGATGGTTTCCAGCTTCATCCATGTCCCTGCAAAAGACATGAACTCATCCTTTTAAAATTGAAGTTCAGGGATGTTAAGTAGTTAATTAAGATCACATAGCGGGTAAGATGATAGAGTGGACCTTGAACTTCCAAGTAGAGCTCATTGCCATTCATAGTACAGTAGACAGGTGAAGAGATAAATATGCATGTTTAGAAAACACAGACAAGAAAGTCTCTTCCTTTTTTGCAACGATGCTTTAGAGCTTCACAGCAACAGAGAAACTGGAGAATAACAGTTTTTCTCTTAATTCCTTTTCTTGCCTGAAAAGACTGGCAGAAAAAAGACTTCCCAGTTCTTATGGCCAAGAAAACGGGAAGACTTGAACTCATCTGACCTGGAAAACAGATATGAAAAGGCAAATACTCTTCTTCTTCCCTTCCCTTCCTCTTCTCCAGAAATTGGAGTGGATTGTAAAGACAAGCTGGCCTCAAATAGACACACACACACACACACACACACACAAAGTATACTGGGTGCCTATGCAGAAATGAGTAAGGTTGAGGTTTGTGACTTTGCTACCAAGTCCTGAGAAAACTGGACTTAAATTTATACATAGAAATTCACCAGCAGTCTTCGACTTACCACTTTAGCAGGTGATTCGATACCACAGAATGGGGATAAACAAGATATTACCTGTGTATGTGTGATAAACTTGAGTGCCTACAATTGATGAATTTCATATGTGAGCATCCTTGTGATCCCTGGTACACACCCTCTTGTGTATCTATGTATCTAGGGATCTGAATAAACAAATAACTACATTAGCTTTTGGTTGTGCAATCAATCAGTTGAAGACTTGGGAAAACATCCAGGGACTTTTGAAATCAAGGCTCTTTACTTTCTCCTTTGGTTGCCTCTATGATTCTAATGTTTAATAAGAATTGAAGACTCCCTAAGGAAATGAACAGGAAGGTATTAACCTTCCTGTTAATGTACACATGTACACATCTGTAACATGTGTCCAGATGATATTTTGCTATGTCCAACCCAGTTTTTTTTTCTTCCTTTCATTTCCTTTCATTCAAGCAGGTATCATTGACCCGGGGTAGGAATATAGCAGGAGGGAAAGTAGGGAGACTTTCAGGTTTTATTTTGAAAAGGCTAAGACACTCAAGGGGTTTAACATTTCTGGATGTGGACAAAATATTTTGGCAAGAAGTGAGAGAAGAAAGATTTCCATGACAGTAGGTGCACTCCTTTGGTCTGTGGGGAGAGTAGAGTGATGGAAACAGAATGGCCTGTGGGTCCTAGAGTGATAGAACAATACATCTTGATTACTGAGCAGAGTCAGAGGAAAAATCCATAATTCCTGCACAATTCACCAAGGTAGAGAAACTTTGAAAAGGTCCCAGCAGAGAACTGGGACAAGCATTCCAATTGCATTAGAATTGCAATATCAGCGTTCTCCACTACAAGTTACACTAACTGGAATGCTGTAGTCTCAGTAGCTACGTCTATGGACTAAAGACAAGGAAACTGATTGGCTTCATTTTCCTTCCAGGAAATACTATGTATAGTTTCTAAAGATACAGCACAAACTGGGAAACGAGGAAGACTCTACAAAAGATAGAAATTGTTTCTAGACTTCTTGATAGGATGGAGATTGAAAATAGAAAATTTAAGTTGACATAGAGAAAAACGGAGTTATAAACTTGAACCATTTGAGATGTAAACCCTGTTTTTATATTCCTCTGGTTTCAGATGCCTAAGGTAGTCTGAGACAATTTTTAACATTCAGTTATTATTATAGAAGGATATATACACAAGGCTACTGATTGTACCACTATTTGTAAAAGCCAAAAACTAAAAATGACCCAAATGTTTACCAAGATGTGACTGATTGAATCAACCGTGGCATGTTCACTCAGTAGAATACTGTGCAACATAAAAAAAAATATACTACTATGAATTGATCTTCTGAATATATTATTGAATGGAAAAGCAAAGGGAAGAAAAGTATAGTTTGCTAACACTTACCCACTTAACCCACATTCACACACACACATACACACACCCGTATACTCATATTTGTTTGTATTTTGAAAAAATTGATAAACCAAAATCACTTCTTAAGAAGGAGGAAAGAGGTTAAAGTGAATATGAATAAAATCAGGATTCTCTGAATATGCTTGCTTTTTGTTGGTTCAACTTTCAAAATTATTCAAAAATTTTATGTGACTTAAAAGCACAATTTATTTATTTTAAAAGTTTAAAAATATAAAGTAAAATAAAATAAACCTATTTTTGTATCCAGTCAGTGCCAAACTGCAGAGAGAAACCAATCAAGGGATTTAAAAATTTTGTAATTTGACTGTATTTCTAGTGTGATATTTCCTGAGGACATATGAGAACTGGAAAAAAAAATAAAGGCTTTTCAGTAATCATATTTTTGGTGATAGTGGTATTTGTTAAATTTTATTGAAGGCTAGCGTCTAGGTATTGTGGGTAAAAACAAATGTGTGTTTGTGCTGATATAGGTAGTTTCCAGAATTTAAATACCATAATAATACTTAATAAAATGCATTGTACACTCCATCAGGATGATAAAGCACCAACTCATATTTTTTTGAAAACGGGTTAAAAAAAAAAAAAGGAAACCCTGTATTTAACCTACCTTTCTTTTACAAACTCTATATGAAGGTAATCAAATTCCCGATAAGCATTCTAGAAGTATTCTAGTCAATAAGCAAAGAAAGAATGATGGAATTGCAATATCAGCATTCTACAACCTCCCACTGAAAAAAAAATAGATCTAGAGAATGATCATCCACAGCTGCTGGTAGCACAAGGAGGTAACTAAACATTGTATAACTCCAGATGGAAATATACAACTGTAACCTCTAAAAATTTCCAGCCAGCCAAAAAAGTCAATCCTGAGTCAGAATAAGCCCCTAAATACTAACAATTTACAGAAAATACAGAGAACAAAAAATACGTTAAATGACACCAAGATATTGCAATCAGTAAGAATTAAATTCTGAGAGACTTCACACGTTAAATGACCTGGTTTCTGCAATAATAAATTAAAAGGAAAAAAAAATGAAGAGGAGACCTATGGAGTAAAAGAAACTCAAGGAACAAATCCAACAAATAAAATTTACAGGCCTTATTTGGATGCTAATTAGTAAAACTGTAAGAAACAAGTAACAAGACTATTGGAAGAAATTTTATACTGGACAGTTGATTAATCCAAGTAAGAAATTATTGCCATCTTTTTAGGTGGAGTAATGCCATTGAAGTAATGTTTAGAAATGCAGGAGTCCTTATATGGCTGAACTATATATTAAAATATTTATGACAAAATGGTGTAATATCATGGGTTGGATTCTAAATAATCTGATGTGGAAGGCCTGAGTAAAAAGTAGTACAGACACAGATTAATTATTTATCCATTGATATTACTGAAGGTAGATGATTGGATTCACCGTTAATTTATTCTTTTCCCCTCTATTTTTTCAGGTTTAATTTTACATAATTTAATGTTGGCAAGTTTAATCATTGCCATATTATACATTGCCACTCCTTAATTTGATACTTTTTAAATTTTCTTTACCTACATTCTGGTCTTTTTCTATTCACCCAAACACAAACATATACACACAGGCCAATGCACCAAATACATCACTGATGTAGAAGAGTAGCTGGTAATGAATTTGATACCTTTCAAAGGGAAAATAAATTGTCTGGAAATCATAGTATTTACTTAACTCATTTATATTAAGCTGTTACACATTTTTTAAGTATAAGCTCCTAATATTATAGGTTTTATCAACAATAAACAAAACCAAATTGCTAAATGCAAACACAATTACAAATTCATGAGCATTAAAATTAATAAATTTAACATAAATGTTTTTGAGGAGGCTGAAACCAGTTATTTCTCAAAACATTAGTGTAGGGAATACTAACTACAAAAACCTGGGTTTTGATTTCCAATTGCTAGGCTGCTACATACTCACAAAATGTGTTCATCTATAAACAAGTAAAACAATGTTTCATTTGTTTATTTTATTTAAACAAATAAAAGTTTACAGATGAACACATTTTGTGACTACATAGTATCCTAGGCAATTGGAAATCAAAACATCTGTAAAACTTTTATTCGTTCAGCACACTGTGAAATAATTTGGCCCTCACTTGGCATAAGAGCATACTTTATGTATCAAATGTGTTTCTGTGTTCTTCTCCTTAGTTTGTAATTATTAAAGTGTTTTTACCTGGTGCCAACCTGATGATAAGGCTAAATGCAAGTTAAAGCAATGGAATTCTATGTTAATTTTTTTAAGTGAATGCACAAATGGCCAAGAATATGCTTACATCTACAGACATCAAAATGAAAACAGAAATTAAGAAATACATTCATATGAATTGTATGAACCCTTAAGGAGCTGCTTTACAGAATGCAGAACATACAGATTGCAGATTGAGAATTAGTTGTGTGGGACTTGTAACTAGCAGTACTAACAATACCACCACGGAAGCAGGAAAAGAAAGAGGGAAAAGAGGTAACACAAGAACACCATTTTTATTTCAAATATGCTGCTTTAATGTAGTCTCCACAAAACATCCAAGTTTGACTTTTCCATAAAAAGTAAATGGTAACCATGGGTGAAATTAATGGGGGAATGCATGGATGAATCTCCTAAGGACTTGTAGAACTTTATAAGTAATGAAGGTGACAGGCATACAGCAAAGGGATCATATAGACCCATAATCCTGGTATAATTTTTAATAACTATCTCTTTTTATCTCAAAGTGTTCTACTTTTGACAATAAATAATATGATCAACATTTTAAAATAAACATTCACACACAAATAACAAATCATTTTGGATTCCTGTTTTCAAAGCTATATGTGACGTACACAGAGCTATACAGCTGCGATTCCCCTTGTTGCTAAATGCCAGGAGTTCTGCCAAAGTCCACCTGCTTGCTGCACAGAAAGCCAATCACTGAGACAAGTACTACCAGCTAAGAAAGGCTTTAATGCAAGTGACATCAGCAGGGAGACGGAGAGATAAGTCTCAAATCCATCTCCCAACTGACTAAAATTAAGTATTTATATAGTAGGGAAGGAAGGAAACTATGTGCAGGAAAACAGGGATTAGGAAAGGTAAGAAAGAAGAGTTGGTCAACAGGAAGCAGGTAGTTGGTTAGGCAATCATGATAGGTTAGGCGTCTGGTGTCTCTTTTTTTGGATGCAATGATCTGGTAATTTTCAGTTCTTTGATACTATCTGGGAGGCCTGATGGTCGGTTTCCTGAGAAAGGAACTCAGATAAGACAAATGTAAGTTTCTCAAGCTCTAAGACTGGGATGGTTGATTTCAACATTTATTGAAAAACCATAAACATCAGTTCTATGGGAAAACTGATCTGGTTTCCTATAGAAAAGTTGACAGCTAGAGTTCCTCATTCTCCCACAGAAAAGCTGACTGCTAGAGTCCATCAGTTAAGCTCTAAGGCATGTCCTTAACTGATGAACTCTGGCTGTCAGAACTTTTCAGAGCCCAGCTCATGTTTGGAAAAGCCAATGACTGAGCAAGGTGGTGGTAGCTGAAGCCGTAGTCTCCTCTGAGTGGTCCCTGGGCCATAACCACTGGTTATTGGTGATTCAAGTTGGTGGTTCAAGAGCATAGCCATTTTACACAGCCTGGGACTCCTCTGACAGAACTCATTCTCTCTGCCTGAATTTGTCAGGTGTCCATCATACTCTGACCATTCCCCCTTTCCTAGTTCTCTCCCCCACCTAGGAAACTTTTTTGCACACCTAACTCTGTCTTAGGGGATGTTTCCCAGACAACTCAACCCCACAACTTCTAACACTTTCTTTTAAAAGTTACATTCATATATAAGCTGGAAATTTAGCAATATCAAACTATTATAAAGTTTCCCAGTTTACATCAAAAGCCAAGTTATAAAATGTGGATTTCTTTAATGTTTCAATGGAATACGTTCTATGGGCATCTAGCCATAGACCAGCATGAAGGCACACAGTAAAGGGAGCACATTATCAAAGAGAAAAGGCCAATTAGAACTTGAAAACTCTCTGCTGAGAGAAACCTACCCTTGAAATCCATGTTGCTCCTGGGCAGACATGGACATGATCTTTTTCTCTTTTTCCTCTCTGCTTTGCTGCAAGAGAGAAAGGAAGCAAAGTCTTGAGCAGGAATTTATAAGGGTAAATATAACCTTTGGTTTGATGCACAGTAAGCTGACAGTTAAAGGTGTATCATACTAGATAAATGTCAAAAGCCAAATAAAAGCCTTGATAATAAGCTGTCCAGAGGCTAAAATCCAGAACCCTTAAGCATGAGAGAAGGATTAGTCTTTTAAAACAATTTTTAACCCTAACTGAAGCTGTCCAAGGTGACTCAGAATGCTGTGATATTCTCAAACTCGGGGGTTGGAGGGTGGCAAGTGTGAAGGAAAGAGAGGGAAAATTGGAGTAACTCAAGATAGAAAAGGTACCTAGTTGTACCAAGATTTTTATATTTATTTAGTTCTTACTTTAAAAAAATAGTAAAGTGGGGCCAGTGACAGTGACTCATGCCTATAATTCCAACATTTTGGGAGGCTGAGACAAGAGGATTTCTTCAGGCCAGGGGTTCGAGAAATCCTGGCAACATAGCGAGATACTGTTTCTACAAAAAATTTAAAAATTAGCCAGGTGACAAGGAGCACACTTGTGGTCCCAGCTACCTGGAAGGCTGAGGCAGGAGAATCACTTTACCTAGGGAGTTTGAGGCTGCAGTAAACCATGATGGCATCACTTCACTCCAACCTGAGTGACAGAGCAAGACCCTGTCTCTATGAAAAAAAGCCAGAAACCCAATACGTTTTCCTATGGACTGAATTTTGTCCCCCAATACTACAAATGTTGAAATCTTAACACCCAGTTCCTCAGAATATGACTGTATTTTCTATCTCCAAATAGGGTCTTTAAAATGAGATCATTAGGGTGGGCCCTAACCCGTATGACTGATAATTTTATAGAACTACAGAATTTTAGGCTGCAATAAGCATTGTTCATCAGTGAATTGCTTATTGTAGCAAAAACTATTAAAAACTGTTGATAAAATGTAAACATCTATCAATATAGAAATAGTTAAATAAATTACGGTAGATCCTTGTAACAACATAATAAATGACAAAGCATATCTACATTCATAGGCTACATATATTCTATTTATAGTGTCACATTAAGTAAGATTTAAAAAACCCATATAGGTCTATATTGCTAGTTCCAAGTTTGTTCTGTTGAATCTCCTTTTTATGTTGTTTAATAGGCACCTTAATAGGTTCTAGAGTGGATTCCAAAACTCCCTGACCTATTTTTATTATAAAAATCTCAATCTAGAGCACATTAAAAACTCCAATCTCATGTCAGATTCAACGAATCCGTCTTCTCTTTCAATGGCCAGACTTAAGGCTCTAGTGACCTGCAGTGGGGAAAGAATAGTGTTGGTTTCATTACTCCTCCCTTCCTCCCTCACTTTGAAGTCAAGAGTGGACAGGGATCTGCTCTGGGAATCCTCCTCCTTTACTCTAGTTCTCTAGCTCCTGCAGTGTTTAGACACGGGTCCAGGGAGGTCTCTACAGGGGATTGTCTGGAGGCAGAAAGTCCAGTGGAGAGTATTTATTTATAGCAAGAATAAGCCATTTGTTACATTGGTGAAACTGAGGCAGAGGAGGGTGGAGTAGCATTCATGTGTTTATGCCACAAGCAAAAATGGCACTCTGTTCTCTCTTCCACCCTCTGGTTTGTTCCCCTGATCACCTTTCCCAGCACCTGACTTTGAAGATGCTTGAATGGCCTTAATGCTCATGATTAAAATTTATAAAGAAAAATTCAACTGTGGATATAAATATTTCCCACATATCAGCAACGGGTAATTTTCTCCAAATGCTTATTTTGATTTCTGCTGGGTACAGTCCTCAGCTTATTCTCTTCATTTTTAGAATTAAATCTCTAAAGTAAAAACATTTTCTCTACTTGCAAATGCTAGTAATGGGCTGCCAGTCAGTCTAAAAAAAAAATCTACTTAGATTTCAGGGTCACAGAATCTTGCAAGAAGAAAGGCTCTGTGGGTTTTGTTCATCCCAAAGAAGAAAGAAAACGTGTGTTTAGTTTGCTCAGGGGGTCTTTGGATTACTAATCTACCATGCTGTGCATTTGAGTAGGTGGAGTTTGAGAGGGTAGGGACTCATTGAGAGCTGACTAGAGTTTAAGGCTCAACTCCTGCTGAATTATTCTTCGCGTAGTGAGTTGTTTTCATCCTATTGGGTTTGCTAGTGTCAGACTATGCAGCCTGTTATTCAGACCAAACATCAACCAAATTATTGTCTTGCCTCCTGAAGTCACTGGCAGACATAACTTTGTGGGTAACTCTGCTGCTAAGATTATTGAATTATTAAAGGCAGTGTCTCGTGGATTTCAACTTGTCCCAGAAGTGATGTGCTCACAGAGATATCCTAACATAGGAAAGGCTTGCCCTACAATCCTATGACATATCCTAACGCCTCTCAAGGACTTAGAAGAAAATGAAAGAAAACACGGGTTAGGATGCATTGACCCACTCCCATGTGGCTTTGCTGGGCTTATAGAATGAATGTAAAAGAAAGGACTTTCAGAAATCAGAGTTTCTTCTGCATCTATGAAAGGGCCCTATGGTCAAGAATAATGAAAATTTATAATAGAGCTGAAAACCTGGGCAACTGCTCCAGAGAATTACATAGATCCCTTATAAATCTGGAGACCTGAAATAATCAAAGGTTTCCTTTTGCACCAGGAACACTCCTTCCATTGTTTTCTTTCCTCACTACCATCATCAGTAAGTTTGGGAAGCTCCCACTCTTCTGGTGAGTATTCTGGTCAGCCATCATTTTCTCTATTTTTCAGGTGTGAGACTTTGAAAAATAGCATATGACTTATACTGCTATAGCCAAAGCAAGTCAACGAATCAAACAAAGCATGTTTCTTGCTTGTCTTGATGGGTGTGCTTGTATGGGGAGACACTGGATAAAGAGTACTAGGGGAGAGGATAGAAAAGAGACTAGCTTCTTACTATAAATATTTTATGCCCTAGCTCAGAGGATGTGGACACTGGTTACACATTAGCATCACCTGGGAAGCTTTTCAAACATACCCATTCCCAGGCCACTCTCCCAAAAAGTCTGATTAAATCATCTCCAGTGGAGTTCAAGCTTTGGCATTTTAAAATTATTTTCCAGGCCATTCTTATATGCAACCAGAATTGAGAATGATTGGCAGCTGGAACAATCGAGTATAAGCCTGGAGCTGAGTGTACGTGCATTTTAAAAATCACACATTAATTAATAATGGAACCTGCATAAACTTAACACATGTGTAGCAAGCTGACCAAAATAAAACAGTCCCTTTGTGTAGAATTAGATGGTGTTATTCTATTCACTCTTCTACAAAATAGAAGCTTGCTGAATTGTGAGCTCCTTGTTTTTATTATTCTCAATTTGAGTTATTCTTGGAAGCATGATCTAGATCATTTAAAAGCACAGATCTTATCCTTAAATTTCTCAGAGTTAGACTCCCCCGTAAAATGTCTAAATATTTCAAAAGCTTTTCCCTGAAGGAGGTTTCAAGTTGAGTTTCTAAAGAAGTGAGAAACATAGATGGAATTGTAGGTTGGGAAAATTACGTGTAAGTGGAACATTGGATATAGGAGAGTCAGGAGAAGAGAAAGTGGGGAGGAAAGGCAGAGCTAACATGCCACCCAGCCCTGTGAAGCAACCTCAGCTCTTGGGGAGGACACACCCAAGACCTAATGGTCTTTTTAGTTTTAGAATGGATTTCAGATCATCAGTTTTAGAGCAGTCCACCTGTTCATCCTTTTGGGCACTCCTGTGACTTGACTCTACATGATGACTGTGTGATTTGTTTAAATTTAGGCTTTAGGAAAATTAAGCCATATGTCTACAAACTTATTTCATGAAAGAATCATGAAATTCTTGCTGTTTATTTAAATGAAATTATTAAAAAGACACGTTGCGTTCACTGTAACACATTAGGAAGGCATATAAATGTATAAAGAAGAAATTTAGTTATCTTGAATTCTACCACCCAAGATAATCATCATTAGTATTTTGTGTAGTTTTTGGCCACGAG
The DNA here is from genome assembly GCF_000001405.40 of Homo sapiens. NCBI lineage: Eukaryota > Metazoa > Chordata > Mammalia > Primates > Hominidae > Homo > Homo sapiens. Next base: position 52,252,282 of record NC_000018.10, read on the forward strand.
AAAGGCAACTCATTGTGTTTTCCTTTTTCATTTACCATTTTTCTGATGGTAGCACAGAGTTGGGAACATGACTGACATCTTCTATGTATTGAATAAATGCAGTGAAGTTTTCCTCAATGACATCAGACCATTGACACCCACCAGGTAGCTTTCATCTCCATTTAGCTTTTTGTTTTCTTGCAGTATAGGCTTTGTATATCTTCATTAGTAGTTTGGGCCGTGAGGCTTTTCTTGCTTTCCTAGGTCAAAGAGCAAAAAGCAGAGTTTCTCAGTTTTGCTCAAGCTGAAAAAAATGGAAAGAGACTTTAAATTAGATGAAAGAAAGATGCTAAATCCATTGCACCAATGAGATTTGAATCTCTAGAGCAGCCAACGTGTGTGTGTGTGCATGCGCATGTGTGTGTGTAAAATGGTGGTGGTGAAAGATAATAAAGTCTATTGTTAACCATAATCTCTAACTTTACAAAGCAATTATCATCAGCTTGGCATGATTCTCTTCCTCTTAACAACCTGGAATTTCTGGACTTTTTTAGGAATTGAAATTTGTAATGAAAACATGAATGGATGTATTGATCTTTTGCCTGTGTTGCATTGATAGTTCGAGAAACAGGGCAAACATTCTATAAATCTAGATGCCTTCTGTTAATTTGAATGGCTATAGGCAATGTTCTCAACTCTTTTGCCCCTTTTATGTCCTTCTCCAGTCTATCCTAACAAATCTGCAATAATTCTTGCTGCCTGTTAGATTGCAAGAACACTCAACACATTAATGGACCCTTCTTTTTCAGGGAAAAAAGTCATACTTCTCAGGTTCTGTCTCTGCCCCTAGTCTGTGCCTTCTGGCTTAGGCACTGTTTCTCAACCTACACAACATTGACATTTTGATTGGAAACGTCTTTGCTGTGCAGGGCTGAGCAATGCATTGCAGGGGGTTTAGTGCCATCTCTGGCCTCTACCCACTAGACGCCAACAGCACTCATCAAGTTGTGACAGACAAAAATGTCTTCCGATGTTGCCAAATATCCCCAGGGAAGTAAAATTGCCCCCAGTTGAAAATGGCTAACCTGATATTAGCACACACTGATTTTCTGTACTAATCCTCTCAGGTAACATATTTGCATTTGAGCTAATGATTTGATTTCAAATCCTTAACATTAGGCTGGTTGTTCTTAGCATGGGAACTTTTGGAAACACAATCTGCTGTTAGAATCACAAACCTTCTAAAAACTATTAGGGTCCAGGCCCATGTCCAGGAAGTAGTTCTGGAATTGGGCCCAAGGAAAATTTTTTAACTCCCTAGGGAATTGTAAAGTACAACAAGGGTGAACATACTTCTTGAGTGTATTTCCAAGGATGTAGAGTTAAGCAAATGTTGCTCACGTCACATCATGGAAGTAATCATCCATTTGGAAAGCATCCTTAAGCAGCTTTACAGATCTGGCTAGGCCTTCCCCGGTGCTTTTATAAAGAGAAGTATTATGCCATTTAATAGTCAACCTTGAGGTGTATTTTTTTATTTTCTTTATTTTCTGGCAACTAGCAAATGTCACATGGAATATGATTGGCTTACATTTCATTAGAGTACATAGTAGGTTCTTCTAAGTAATGCTATTCTTGATAAGAAAAACACTTTGAATACTTCAAACTAAAAACTTACAAAAATGTAATTCTTAGTTATTGCTTTAATGGAAGAAAGAAACATATTTTTAAATAAAATAAAATTTAAATTATACTGGTGTATATGTGGTATATGTGTGTGTGCCTATTGTTTCATAGATAATAGCCATTAGTGATAAACAAATGTGTACATCAAGCTACAGATGACATTTTCCACTATGTAGTACGCCTAAGAGGATTATACTTTAGAAAAGAAGACTGACCAAGGCCAATGTACCTCTTTATGAACTCAGAAAACTACCATCTTGATATACTGGGGTACCTAATTAATATAGTGTATGTCCTGGGATTTTTGTCTGCCCAACATATATTTTCTTTTTTCTCCTGGAAATGATATGCAATTTCCTTTGAAACACATATGCCATTCTCCATGTTGCTGTGGATTATCAAACACAGTGCTCTTTCCTTTCCCGCAGTAACAGGCATGGGTGTGGAACACAAGCTGGACTAATTGTAATATGGAGTCACCTACAAAGAGATGTGTGATGCACCTACTAATCATAAAACGTAGCCAATTACAAGCCTCCCCTGGAATTTTCTGCATTGGAAGATAAAATGTAGTTCTCAATTTCTCTTGGAATGTGAGCCAAAAATACCTAAGTCTACAACTGTCAGCAACCACCTTTGCTGGTACATGGAGAATCCCCACGTGCATTAGACAGAATGGGACCAGCAGACACAGGATGTAAGAGTTAGTCATGGCATTTTCAAGGAAATATTTCAGATAATAAACTGCCTCAAGAAATGTGATTCAATGAAGGGAAACTGCTTCATCATAAATTTGCAGATTCCATGTATATAGATAGTATACCTGAATTTTAGTCACAAGAAATGCCTATAATCATTTTGGTTTCCGTTTTGTGGTTACTGTCTATATAAAAGAAAAGTAGTTCAGACCAAAGCTTCCTGAAATAAAATGAAGTTTTATTTTTGTTGTGAACAGGGAAGTAGGTGATAGCAATCTGTCTTTTCCTGTGATGTTGAATATGCTGTTATAGTGTGTCTACTTAAGTCAAAGGGGGTCAGGCATTTTGGATGTCACACTAACAAAGAATGAGTAGAGTTCCGCTTTGTGTCATACCAGATTTAAAATAATTAGAATCATACTGTCATAGGACATTAGCAGTTTAAGGAAACTTGGAGGGCATCTTGTGCTTTGAATCTAAACCTCATGTGGGGATGAGGAGGACACATGTCATTGTGCAGAGATCAACTGAAGTAAATGGCATAGTGAATGATATGGTTTGGCTGTGTCCCCACCCAAATCTCATCTTGAGTTGTAGTTCCCAATCTCATCTTGAATCTCATCTTGAATTGTAATTCCCATGTATTGTGGGAGGGACCTGGTGGAGGTAATTGAATCATAGGGGCAGTTTCCCCTTGCTATTCTTGTGGTAGTGAGTAAGTTCTCATGAGATTTCACGGTTTTATAAGGGGCTTCCCCCCTTTGCTCAGTTCTCATTCTTCTGTCTCCTGCAGCCATGTGAAGAAGGACATATTTGCTTCCCTTGCTGCCATGATTGTAAGTTTCCTGAGGCCAGCCATGCAGAACTGTGAGTCAATGAAACCTCTCTCCTTTATAAATTACCCAGTCTCGGGTATGTCTTCGTAGCAGCGTGAGAAGGGACTAATACAGTGAAGTTTGCAATGATTTGATTAGTTTTTTTTTAATAGACTAGAGTAGATTCAGAGTTAAAAGTTCAACATTTTCATAACTGGTTGTCAATTGATCCCACATTCCTCACAAAGTGAGCACTTATCTGTTTACAAGTCAAATAGAAATATCTATCCCATCACAGAAACCCAGAAGAAAAATAAACTTCTCTTTGTAGACAGGGGAGCACAAATAACTACATTCCAGGCTAGTGTCTTCATAGCAATATATTTTGAGAGCTTAAGATGATTGGGTGATGAGCTCTTGGCTTGAGACACAAACTAGCCCCACTTAGACGTTGTTTGAGCTCTCCTTCTTCAGATGGTTCTTCTTCCAGAGCACCACTGTTCCTGACAATCAAATGCATCTAAAGGGAAACTTGTAGCTTTCTTTGCAATAGACCAGCTTTCTCCCATTCCTGCATTTAGATCTTATATAATCTCAATAATAGAAATCACGTTTTTTTGGTATATACCACATAATTCTGAATGAAAGTTTTCACACAGTAAGCACTAATTATTTTGCTTGTTAACTTGAAAAAAGAAAATTATGTCTAAACTATGTTAGCAATTAGAAGAAAAGATCAAGGAAAAGAAGAATTTATAAATGTATTCAAACTTAGCTCATTTGTCTTAAGCGATAAGGCAGAATGAAGATTCTCAATGTTCTTGTTTAAAATCTTCTGAGTCTCAACAATCAGTTGTGTGTAAATAAAATGAATGCTTCTCAACAAGCAGTTGTGTGTAAATAAAATGAATGCTCCTTATTAGGAAGGGGAAAGCTTAGAGTGGGCAGTCAAACTTGTCAAAATGCATGGAAATGTGGTAAAAATGGTAAAATGGGACTTACAGGTGTAAAATTTTTGCATTAATGGCTGTTTCAAATGTCACTAAAACAAATGATTTGTGTAAATATGATAATGCTCTTTCATAAATGGGCACCTCATTAAGACCAACACGTCACCTTCTTAGCTGAGCTCAAACCACTTACCGTCTATTTTATAAGTTGATTCAAATGCTTTTCAACCTTTCAGGGAAATTGTTTTGCATCAGAAAAATAAAAAGCCTGAAAACATGTCAATGAATCATTAGCAGTAGCATTTTCTTTTGAAAATATCAGACATATTTTCTATAAATATCTCCACAGCCAATTTATATGTGTGTATATAAAATAAAGCAATCTTATCTCATACGTTTTACTTTATGTAGCTGTGTTCCTGAGTCAGTGCTGTTTTAGTCAAACAGAATTAAATATCTTTTTCAAGGTTCAAAGACATCATGCCATCCAAATAGAATAATCCTCTCTTTCCCAATCAAAACAAACTGTATTGTAGACATTTCAGTCATGTTACGCCCTTCTTCTTTTGAGTCAGTGGGATAGGCCATCTGAAACTCAACTGAAAGCTTGGTGGATTTTCATGTGGGGAGAGAGTAAAACATCACTGCATTGAACCTCTTCCAAACACGTAGGAACTGTCGTGGTATAGTAATGTGCTGTAAAGTTCAGAAGAGAGCAATCGCAAAACGAAACACACAAGGATGGGAAAGAAATTGGTCTGGAAAGAATCTTTATTTTGCATAAGTGTGTTGCTTTTGGAGCCCAGCAAAGACTAAAATCAAGACATTTTCTTTCACATTGTACCTGGCTGGGTATGCTGTGGGGCCAGCACACAGTTTAAAAAAGAGAACTGACCAATGACAGCTATCATGCCCACACCTGAATTTATGTATGTATGTATGTATGTATGTATGTATGTATGTATTGAGAAGGAGTCTGACTCTGTCAGGCTGGAGTGCAGTGGCATAATCTTGGCTCACTACAGCCTCCACCTCCTGGGTTCAAGCGATTCTCCTGCCTCAGCCTTCAGAGTACCTGGGATTACAGGTGGACACCACCATTCCTGACTAATTTTTGCATTTTTATTAGAGACAGGATTTCACCATGTTGGCCAGGCTGGTCTTGAACTCCTGACCTCAAGTGATCCTCCCCCCTCGGCCACCCAAAGTGCTGGGATTATAGGTGTGAGCCACCATGCCCGGCCCACACCTGACTTTTAGATTTCAGTACATGAATAGCCATCAGTCATCCATACTGGATACTGTTTGGTAATTGTTCATTACTTTTATTTAAAGTGTATCTGGACTCCCTGCCATATTAGAGAAGCTTATGGATGAAATCCCAAATTATATAATCAAGTAGGTGTTTTTTAATTGTTTCATTTTATTTCATAAAAGCCAGGAGTTTACAAATGCTAGGTGCACACAGCATGTCTTGACTCGCTCAACAGAGTCCATGGCCCTACCTTTCAGATTCCAGGGCATGAGCTCCAGAGACAGCATCCAGCCTGAGTCTACCACTTATTTCTGCCATGTCCTGGCACAGAAGTTCACAAAATGAGGATTAGTATTGCAACTATATCAGCACTGGAGTACACATTAAAGCTTATCATGTATATAAATCACTAAGCACTGTCCCTGATACATATTGAGCACTCAAAAAATAATTCCTATAAATATGAGGATATTACAAAGGCACCTTTACTACTCACGTCGCTGTTCACTCCCTGAAAGTTCTCTGCATCCATCCCTGTCCACCTTGAGGCCCATTAAAACTGGTGTTTCATTCACCATTTGTAGGGGAAACAAAAAGACAGCAGGATTTAGAGATAATGTGGAAATGCCTGAAAACATGTGAAGGTTAGTCTAATAATCAAGGAGTTTTTAAAGACTTTCCACTTTCTTTTCCCAGAAAATTCTGTAATCACAATATCTGTATTTATAATTTAGTAATAGCTCCTGTATTGAATTACTGATGATATAATATTGGCTTGTCATTTAAACTGAACATTTGAGACATATGTGACACAGTATGACTAGAAATTAATAGGACTGAAACTGAACTTGGACATCCCAATGCTGATTATCTTCCCTAGAGCGGTTGGATTGGAAGTGTGGCAGAGACCCTCTAAAACTGCCACCAATAACTCATGTCCCCTCCCTCCATACTGCAGAGCTGTTGCTGGTAACTGCTCAGGCAAGAACTATTAGGTTGATTCAAACGTAATTGCAGCTTTTGCCATTAAAAATAATGGCACTGACCTAATACATTTCTCAGACTTTTTCACTTCTGAGTAGTAAGTTTCTACAAATGGAATGTGAGTGCAAGGAATGTGTGTCAAATTCAGAACGAGGCTGAGAAGCAGCAAGTGGGTTATATACAGAGGACTGTGAGGTTCCAAGGATATCAGGGCTACAGGATGGAAGAAGCTGTGTCCGTGAATCACCCATGTGGAGAAGCCACTGGTTGACCAGAAATGCCTGCAGTGGTGTGTTGTGTAGCAATTAATAAACTTATTTTGTGTTGAGCCACTGAGATTTTGGAGTTTTGTCACGCCAGCTTATGCTTTCATAACTAATATAAAATGTAATTCAGCTATCCCAATAATATACTCTTTCAGATATTTTGAAACTCTTCCGGGTTTGCTATCTGGGCTCTTCGGAGTCTCAGTGTAGAAAGTTTAAATGTAGAAGTTCTCAATGTATTATCAGGAATCAGTCTCATTAGTTAACCATATAGGTAATTCCAGAAAATGAAACCCTTAATAAAGTACAACATGGCTTCATGGTATCATGCTAGAAAATCTTATCATGTTGAATCACACTACTGCTCAGAAGACGTGATTTCTGATTCCAGTTCTGCTTCTTAACCTCTGTAAGCCTTGCTACCCTCGTTGTGAAATGGAGATAAAAAATGTCTGCATTGATTACTCACCAGAATTGTTGTAAGGTTCATATGAGGCAATGCATGAACAGTATTTACAAATTGGACAAGGCTATAGAACGTAGCATAGCATTTAAGAGTCTTTGTAGTTAGATGAAATTGGCCCAATATCCAAGAGACACTGTGAGTGGAACCCTGAAAGCAATATACTTTGAGGCGCTAGTGACCTAGCACTGTGTCTGGCATGTGGTCAGAGCTCATTGAACAGTAGCTACAATGACTATCATTTTGGCCTCCTAGGGTTAGAACATCAACAAGAGTTACTAATTCAGATTAGAATCATACTGATCTAGATGTCTACTGAGATAGACAGGCAGTTAGAGGAATCTTAGCCATTGACTACAATGCAACTGCAGAAGGAAGCAGTGTGGGCAAACACAGGGAGAACTGATAAGTTCTCCAGGAAGCTTATACAGTGTAGATCAGAAATAACCAAGAAGTTGTACTTATTTCAAAAATTAATAAGAGGGTGCTATTGTGAGCTTAGGATTTTTGTTCCCGAATATATGAAAGAAATATTAACCATGAATCTTGAATTTCCTTCATTTCCCTTTATGAAAACTAGTAGTAATTTATGATTCAGTTGTATATAAACAACAGAATGTGGCATTGCAATTGTAAATTAGCCAATTAATTTGAACCTTGTAAACCACTGAGAAGAATAATTTTGATCTCACAACATTTGTTTCTAGCAAATATAAATATGTCCCTTGCACATAATGCAGATTTACTAATTGACTGATTATTTGGGGGTCCTGTCTTCAATGATCAGATTATAACTACTATTAATTTTTTTAGATCAAGGAGCAGAACATTTAGGAAGACAATTTATAAAAATTGTAGCAGGAAGAAATGTAGGAGGTACAAGTCAGTGGTTCTCAAAGTGTGGCTCTCAGACCAGCAATGTGAGCATCACTGGGGAACTTATTAGAAATGCAAAATTTTCAAATATAAAATAAATTAGGATAAAACTGTAGGGGAATCATAATAAAAATTTGATTTCAGGTAATAAAGGAAATGATGTAAAAAAAAATGCAAAATTTCAGACCTTCCTCCAGACCTGCTGTATGTATTTAACCAGACCACTGAGTAATTCTCATACAAACTAAAGTTAGAGAATTGCAGGCATGTGCATGAAGATGAATATAACTGGAGAAGAGACAGCTGGGAGTAGAGTGGTACAGGATGAGGTGGTAGAAATAGATACAGATTTGAGGGGTGTGGGACTTGAAGTTACTTAAAGCCAAATCAATATCCTAAGAGCAATGGGAAAACAGAATGGTTTAAGCATTAGGAATTTGAGTGTCACAGGATGAAATTTGCATTTTAAAAAGATCATTCTAGTTATAGTATGAAGAGTGAATTAAAGGAGGCCAATGTAAATATTATAATGTCAGAAGTATAACAAGGTTGCACATTTATTTATACTGCAACTTGGAAGTGCAATGAAACCAGAGCTCCTTTATTTTATTTAAAATTGATCTGGTGGTCTTTGTGAAAATCCACCCACTTTGTAGCAAGAAAAAGAAAAATGTAAGCCAGTGATCATTTAACTACATTTTAACAATTTTTTTTTTTTTTTTTGAAACAGAATCTCACTCTGTTGCCCAGGCTGGAGTGCAGTAGCACAATCTCGGCTCACTGCAACCTCTGCCTCCCGGGTTCAAGCAATTCTCCCTGCCTCTGCTTCAGCCTCCTGAGTAGCTGGGATTACAGGCACCCGCCACCATGCCCAGCTAATTTTTGTACTTTTAGTAGAGATGTGGTTTCACCATGTTGGTCAGGCTGTTCTGGAACTCCTGACCTCAGGTGATCCACCCGCCTCAGCTACCCAAAGTGCTGGGATTACAGACGTAAGCCACGGCCCCGGCCTTACATTCTAATTTCTGCCAGTTACTAAACCTTACAGTGTTTTAGAATTTACATCTTTGAAATGGGGAAAAGTTTATTTTTCTTCTTCACTGAAGTATTTTAATGATCCTATTGCATGAGAGATATAAACATGTTTTAGATAAAAATGCTACTGTTATTTTATATTATTATTTTGTAAAAGAATGAAAACCATTAATATTAATTCCTCTAATGTCCATATAACAGTAAATGCATTTTGTTATGTCCATATTAATGTTATTCTCTATTTTAGGGTAAAAAATAGGAGTTTTGATCTTACTTTCACTTACTGTTTAACCAAAGTTTCATTTTTATTTCCAAAAAGCAAGAAGATGACAAACTGTGGGCATAGTATAGAAATATTTTTACAAAAGTCTTGGGATTTTTGTTTTTTAATGCCAGGCTACACTTTGAATGGTGAGTAAAATATCCATATGGCAATGTTAGCAAACATCCCTACTTGTTGCAAAGCATGATGGTATAATTTCCTAGTTATATTCAAATTCTTCTTTGTAAAAATATCTATATTTAAAATTCTAAAACTACCTTTCAGTGAGGTACCTCACATAATCAGATGAATAATATGGAATATGGAATTGTATAGCATTTATGTATCCTGCATGTTATCAGCAAACCAAGACAGCTGGGAGGCAAAAATTTAAAGAATTTCTGATATGGCTGAATTGGTCTCTGGAGCAGAAATGGTTTTCTATAAAATTGTTAAGAGGGAAAAGTTTATATCTGGCTCCTCTCTTCAAATTTCTATTTTGCTGCTCCCTTCCCTGTGATTCTCCTCAGAACTGTCTCTCCCTTGAATATGTAGGGACCCATGCAAATACTTTCTCAGGCCCCCAATCCGTATTAACAACTTGATTTTTCAAAGGTTATACATATTCAAGATGACCTTGGAGAATCTTTTAGTGCCAGCAAACAAAGAATTCCTCAAAAAAGAAAAAAAAAAAAAGGTGATGGGAGTATGTCAAGGGATACAGGCGCCAACTGAAAGAGCTCCCAATGGCCAAAACAGAACAATTTGAGAAACAAAGTAAAGAGATATTGGATCATAACTCAAAGTTTAAAATAAATATTCATGATTCTAGGCCAGTGTAAATAAATGGTTAAATAAATAAATGTGGGAGAATAAAGAAATTCCAATTGCAGAAGAATTCCTAATAATTTATGTAGCTACTCTACCCTTAAAAGGAGTAGAGCATGAGTCCGTACTCCTTAAGTGTGTGCTGGGTATAGCAACTTTCTTCCAGAGCATGGTACGCAACTGGGAGAAAAGACGAACTTTACAGTGGAGGAATCTGACAAACAGTATCTCAACCAGGTGATCAAGATCAACATCAACAGCATTAAGTTATATTGATAGCAGGAATCTTTGATACGATCAGATGAGAATGGCAGTTTATCTCTGTGTTCTTCCTCTCAAAAGTCCATATCCCCAGTCTAATCATGACAAAAATCTTACACAAAGATGAACTTAGAGACATTCTACAAAATTCTTAACCAGTACTCCTCAAAACTGTCAAGACTATAAAAAAATAAGGAAAGTCTGAGAAATTGGCACAGTTAAGAAGGGGGTGTAACGAGACATGATGACTAAATATTACACAGTATCTTGGATGAATCCTAGAACAGAAAATTCCCTTTTGGTGAAAACTTAGAAAATCTTTATTTATTTATTTTTGAGACAGAGTCTTGCTCTGTTGCTCAGGCTGGAGTGCAGTGGCACAATCTCAGCTCACTGCAATCTCTGCTTCCCGGATTCAAATGATTCTCCTGCTTCAGTCTCCCAACCAGCTGGGACTACAGGCACGTGCCACCACACCCGGCTAATTTTTGTATTTTTAGTAGAGACAGGGTTTCACCACGTTGGCCAGGCTGGTCTCACATTCCTAGCCTTAAGTGATCTGCCCACCTCAGCCTCCCAAAGTGCTGGGGTTACAGGCTGTGAGGCACCACACCTGGCCAGGAAAACTTAATGAAGTGTGGCTTCAGTAAACAATTATGTATCAATATTGGCTTATTAATTGTAACAAATATACTAAAAATATAAGATGTTGATAATGGAAAAACTGGGTGTGGGGTGTAGGGGTGCTTTTTGTACTATCTTTACAACTTTCCTGTAACCCTCAAACTATTCTAAACGGCAAGTTTAAAAGTATTATTACAACATTCAAGAGCCTATATAAGGGAGGGATTCTTGATGATGACTTAAAAGTGACATTGGCAAACCTTTTATTTCAAGGGTCTGATAGTAAATAATTTAGGCTTTGTGAGCTTCATAAAGGCATGTCTTTATTACATATTGTATATTTAGTTAGTTACAACCCTTTAGGAATGTAAAAAATATTCCTAGCTATAGGGCTGTATACAAACAAGCAGAGGCAGATGGACTATAACTGCGAAATTATAATTTCGCTATAAAATAGCGAAAGGACTATAGTTGCAGATCTCCAATTTAAAATAACATGTAGAGAAGAGCTATTTACACATTACTTTATTATCCCTCCAGTGCACATGTAGATTTTCTTAGTGTCCAGCCACAGTTTCTTCTTGTTCAGGTCCAAGAACTACCATCGCTTTTTGTTAGTCTTTTTTTTTTTTTTTTCTTGTTTTCTAAGACTGTTTATTTGCATTGGAGTTTATTTTTTTTGATTCACTAATATTCAACTAAATGGTTTTCCTCAATTGTTTAAGTTCAGCCATTGAAGTACAGCCTTCTCTCACCTCTGCACTTAAATTCTTAGTCTTGCCTTTCCTGGAAAGACCTCCCTTACATTTCTTTATTCAGTCCATTCTTCAAGGCCAGACACTCCCCAAAGTTTTTGTTTTCTTTTGCTTTCTAGCTTTATTGAGGTAAATGATTGACATGTTAAAATTATATATATTTAAGATATACAATATGATGTTTCAATATACCTACACATTGTGAAATGATTTTCATGATCAAACTAATTAACATATTAGTCACTTCAAATTAGCTTTTTTGTGTGTAAGAATACTTGAGATCTACTTTCTTAGCAAATTTTAGTATATAATACATTACTATTAATATAGTCACCATGTGGTAACTTAGGTCTCCAGAATATATTCGTCTTGTAACTACAGTTTTGTGCCTTTAACCAACATCTATTTTCCTCCCCACCAGCCCCTGGTAACTACCATCTTATTGTCTTTTTATAGGAATTTGACTTTTTTAGACTCCACGTGTAAGTGATATCATGCAGTATTTGTCTTTCTGTGTCTCGGTTATTTCACTTAGCAAAATGTTTTGCAGGTTAATCCCTGTTGGTGTAAATGGCAAAATTTCCTTCTTTTAAAGGTTGAATAATATTCCATTTTGTGTATGTATATGTAGCACATTTTCTTTATGCATTTATCCATCCAGTGATACTTAGGTTGTTTAATATCTTGGCTACTGTGAATAATGCTGCAGTGAACCTGGGTGTGCTTTCTTCTGGATAGATACAAAGAAGGAGAATTTGTAGATCCAGGTGATAGTTCTATTTTTCGTTTTTTGAGGAACCTGCATATGGTTTTCCACAATAGCTGTTCCAGTTTACATTCTCATCAATGGTGTATAAGGCTTCACTTTTTATCACATCCTCACCAGCACTTGTTATCTTCTAGCTTTTTTTGTAATAGCTATTATAACAGATGTGAGATGTTATCTCATTGTAGTTTTGATTTGCATTCTCCTGATTATTAATGATGCTGAGCACCTTTTTGTATACCTGTTGGCCATGTGTATGTCTTCTTGGAAGAAGAGTCTATTGAGATTCTCAGCCCATTTTTAATTGGGTTATTTGCTTATTTTTGTTTTGCTATTAAGTTTTATGAGTCTTTAACATATATTTTTAATATTAACCTCTTTTTGGATATATGGTTTGTAAATACTTTTTCCCAATCCATAGGTTGCCTTTTCTTTTTGCTGTTTCCTTAAAGGTCCAATTTCATTCTTATTCATGTTGATATCCAGTTGTTGATATCCATTTATTGAAGAGACATCTTTTCTCCTCGTATTTTTAACACCTTTGTCAAAAACTAGTTGGTCATATATACACAAGTTTATTTCTGGGCTCCCTATTCTATTTTATTGGCCTATGTGTCTCTTCTTCTTGCCAGAACTATACTATTTTGATTACTATAGCTTTGTAATATAATTTGAAATCAGTAATATCTCAAACTTTATTCTTCTGACTTAAGATTGATTTAGCTATTTAGGGTCTTTTATGGTCCTATTTGAAAAAAATTGCTTTTTCTCTGTCATTGAAAAATACCATTGGAATTTTGATAGAGATTGTATTTAATCTGCAATCACTTTGAGAAGTATGAATATTATAACAGTATCAGTTCTTCCAATCCATGAACATGAGACATAAATCCATGCCTTTGTGTCTTCTTCAATATCTTTCATCAGTGTTTTATAGTTTTGGTGTATGTATCTCTCACCTCCTTGGTTAAATTTATTCCCGAGGGTTTTTTTATATATATTATTGTAAATGTTATTGTTTTCTTAATTTCCTTTTCAGATAGTCTGTTGTTAGTGTATAGAAGTAGAACTGGTTTTTATGGTGATTTTGGATTCTGCGTATTTACTGTATTTGTTTAATCTAGTAGATTTTTTTTGGTAGCATCTTTAAGGTTTTCTAAATCTATGTAAGATCATATCTTCTGCAAACAGAGACAATTTATTTATTACTTGAATGCATTTTTTTCCTTGTCTAATTGCTCTGGGTAAGACTTTCAGTATAATGTCAAATATAATTGGCAAGAGTGGCAAACAAATCAGCAAGAAAAAAACAAACAATCCCATCAAAAATTGGGCTAAGGACATAAAAAGACAACTCTCAAAATAGATACACAAATGGCCTGCAAATATATGAAAAATGCTCAACATCACTAATAATCAGGAAAATGCAAATCAAAACCACAATGTGATATCACCTCACTCCTGAAAGAATAGCCATAATAAAAAAATCAGAAACAGGAGATGTTGGCATGGATGTGATGATCAGGGAATACTTCTACCCTGCTGGTAGGAATGTAAACTAGTACAACCACTATGGAAAACAGTGTGGAGATTCCTCAAAGAACTAAAAGTTGAACTACCATTTGATTCAGTAATTCCACTACTGGATATCTACCTAGAGGAAGAGAAGGGATTATACAAAAAAGATACTTGTCCAGGCATGTTTATTGCAGCACAATTTACAGTTGCAAAATGGTGGAACCAACCCAAATGTTCATCAATCAACGAGTGGATAAAGAAACTGTGATATATATATATATGAATATTACTCAGCTATAAAAAGGAATGAATTAATGGCATTAGCAGCAACCTGAATGAAATTGGAGACTATTATTCTAAGTGAAGTAACTCAGGAATGGAAAACCAAATATCATATGTTCTCACTGATGTGTGGGAGCTAAGCTATGAGGACACAAAGGCATAAAAATGATACAGTGGGCTTTGGGGATTTAGGGGGAAGGATGGAAATGGGGTGAGGGATAAAAGACTACAAATAGGGTTCCGTGTATAATGCTCAGGTGATGGATGCACCAAGATCTCACAAATCACCACTAAATAACTTACTCATGTAACCAAACACCACCTGTACCCCAATAACCTATGGAAAATGTAAAAAAAAAAAAAGGTGGCAAGAGTGGGCATTTTGATCTTGTTTTAGATCTTAGAGGGAAAGCTTTCAGCTCTTCATGTTGAGTAGGATATTCACTGTAGGTTTGTCACACATAACTTTTATATTGTTGAGGTATATGATTTTTTGATTTTTTTTGATGAAAGCATGTTGAATTTTATCAAATGCTTTTTCTGCATCTATTGAGATGAACATATGATTTTTATCTTCATTCTGTTAGTGTGACATATCATAGTTATTGATTTGCATATATAGAACCATCCCTGCGTCCCAGGAATAAATTCCACTTGATCATCGCACATGTGCTTTTAACATGCTGTTGAGTTTGTTTGCTAGTATTTTGTTAAGAAGTTTTACATCTTCATCAGGGATACTATCATAATGCCCTGAAATTTTCTTTTATTTTTGTAGTCTTCTTGTCTGGCCTTGGTATCAGGGCCATGCTGGTCTCATAAAATGAGTTTGAAGGTGTTCCCTCCTCTTCAAATTATTGGATGATTTTGAAAAACATTGGCATTACTTTTAAAAATATTTTGTAGAAATGACCTGTGAAGCCATCTGGTCCTAGGCTTTCTTGGTTAGGTGATTCAATACCTTTACTAGTTATAGGTCGGTTCAGATTTTTAATTTCTTTGTAATTCAGTTTTGGTAGGTTGTATGATGCTAGGAATTTATCCATTCTTCCAGGTTATCCAATTTGTTGGCGTATAATTGCCCATTAGTTTCTTATGTTTTTGTTTTTTTAAAAAAATATTTCTGTGGCGATACATTACATTGCAATGTATCATTTTTCATTTCTGATTTTATTTATTTTATTTATTAAATAACCATCTTGAGATGGTAAATTTTATGTATCAACTTGACTAGGTTAAGGGATGCCCAGATAGCTGTTATAATATTTCTGTGTGTGTATGTGAGGGTGTCTAGAAAAGATTAGCATTTGAGTCAGTAGACTTGAGTAAAGAAAATCCACCCTCGACAATGTTGGCGGGCATTTAAAAATCTGTTGAAAGCCCAAATAGAACAAAAAGGCAGATTAAAGACATACTTGCTCTCCCTCTTCTAGATCTGTGACATTCATCCTCTCCTGCCCCTAAACATCACAACTCTTTGGTCTCAGGCCTTTGGACTCTAATAAAGTTGACCCTATTGGTACCCCCAGTTTTCAGGCCTTCAGACTCAGACTGAATTACACCTTTGGCTTTCATGGTTCTCCAGCTTGCAGATGGTATGTCATACCACTTCTTAGGCTCCATAATCATGTGAACCAATTCCCATAATAAATCGTCCCTTTTATATCTACTTTTTCTGTTTCTACGACAATCCTAATGCATGTCTTTTCTTGTTTTCTTCTTAGTCTAGCTAAAAGGTTTGCTAGTTTTGTTAATCTTTCCTTTAAACCCAGTTCTTAGTTTCATTGATCTATTATTTTTCTAGTCCCTATGTTATTTATTTCTGCTTTGATCTTTGTAATTCCCTTTCTTCTGCTAACTTTGGGATTGGTTTATTCTTCTAGTTCCTTGACGTGTAAAGTTAAATTGTTTATTTCCATGTATTTATTTGTTCTTAATGTAGGTGTTTATTACTATAAACTTCTCTCTTGAAACTGCTTTTGCTTCATCTTTTAAATGTTGGTAAGATGTGTTTCTATTTTTGTTTGTCTAGAGACTTTAAAATTTCTTCTTTATTGGTTGTTCAGGAGTATATTTTTAAATTTCCACATATTTGTGAATTTTCCAACTTTCCTCCTCTTATTGATTTCTAGTTTCACACCATTACATTGAGACAAGATACTTGATATGATTTCAATTTTCTGAGATTTGTTAAGACTTGTTTTGTGCCCTAAAATATCATCTATTCTGGAGAATGTTTGTGTGTGCTTAAAAAGAATATTCTTCAGATGTTAGATGGAATGTTCTGGATATATCTGTTAGGTACATTTAATCTAAAGAGTAGTTCAAATCCAATGGTTCCTTATTGTTTCCTGACTGGATGATCTATGCATCGTTCCTGGTTAATTTCAAGTGTTTCACCATGAGATAAAGTTAGCAGTGCTGTTATTATTCACAATGTCATAGCTCCTTAGAACTTGTTTTATTGAAACAAAATACATGTTCTTATTTTGCATTTCCCTACTACCATTCACTGCTGCATCATCCACTGAGCAACCCATGAATACTGACTTCCAATGACTCTCCCAAAAATAACTTGGCTTTCTTGATAGTGAGCTCAAATTAATGTCTTACCTAGAGTATGCAGGAAATATGAACAATAATTACTTTTCTGAACATGCTAATTTTACTGTTCAGAATTTTTTAGTGGAAAGGGTTGAACAACATATCTTCCAATCATGTCTTCCTTTGGACTTTTTAGGCCATTGTCACTACATCTCTAGAATATAATATTTCAGTGTTTACTGCACCTCTGCCTTCCATATACTTTCATCCATGGGAGGAGAGGCAATGGCCTTTTGTGTAGAGTGAGAAAGGCATTTCCGTCTGCACAAGGAACACACATTCCCTCCTCCAGCAGAGTGTAATAGTCAAGAATGCACATTGTCACCACATTGAGAAAGGACATGGATTAAAAGTGCCAACTGGTTGTGAAGCCACAGTCTGAAAAGCCCTCAGAAGAGATAAACATGACTGTTTTGTGGAGTCTTCCTCAAGCACGGCATAAAGCTTACAGAGGACATGAGAAGACTTCCCTGGAAGATATGTTGTTCAACTTTTATACTAAAAGACTTAAAATTGCCAGTAGCAGAGGTAGCACTGCCACCATAAGAAAATCCTGCCACCACTCCCATCCTACCACTTTCATGTCCTTCGAGTCCTAAGGTCAGAGGCAGTCCTAATGTTGCAATACAGAAGGCCAAAAACAGGCCCACAGGCCCACACAAGGATCTGTGGTAGATGGTAGCCCAGAGTCCTGAACTTGTACAGGGTCCAGAGTGAGTGAGAGTCATTCCAAATCAATGTGTTAGCACCATTCTGGCAGCTCAGTCTCACACAATCACCCAAAAGAAAAACTGTGTCATTCAGGTCGAATGATCTTCTCACTGTCCTAAAACTGCACCTCAATCACAGGGCCCAGGACTTACTGTATAAGCACAAATCTTGGAGCATCTGATTGACCCAATGCAGAGCAAATGTACAGCTCCAGGGACACTCCAAATGAGAAAAACATGAGCTGGAGAACTTATTTTAGTTGTCACTGCTGGCTTCATCCCAAGCCACAAGAGGGAGAAAGATAATTTTATCAGACTCTCCGAAATGTAGGGCCCTCTGAGATGGGGGATCCAGGGTAGAGACCTCTGCTTATTTGGTCTAAGAATGCTACCGCCTCTCTTATACCCTGCTTTTCAATTAAAGGGATATATAATGCCCTCATGCTGATCCTAGATTCCAGTCTCTCTCTAGTGATCCCCCTACAATCATACAAAAGAACATTGCACACTTTCATTGAAACCCATTCCTTTGCCGTGGTCATAGGCATTGGGGGATTCAGAAATGAAAAACATTTCCAGATTTTTTCTAAGTGTATATATCCTGCATCCTGTTCCTTCAGGCCCCTGCTGTCTAGTAACTATTTGGCAGAACTAAGTCAGACTACATATCAATCCTGATAATGTCTTAATTCCAGATAATGCAATTTTATTTAACAAGGTCATTTTAAATGCATTAACACAAACTTGGACCCTCCTGTGCTTGTTGAAACATGTAGATTCACAATGACCTGGCCACAGAGCATCGCCGATATCCAACTATTTACTGAGGATTATCATTTTAAATTCACTCTTCTGAATACATTTTAAAACTCAACTAAGTAAAGAAATATTTATTTAGGATTTCTTTTTTTTTTTTTTTTGGTGGGAGAAAGTGGGGAGAGTACAGTACATCTAGTCTTCTGGATACTTTAACATCCAGCCCCAAATTATACCAGACAATTAAGAAATCGTGTACTTGAAGTAAATGTTTTGCACCCTTCTTTTCTCAGTCTCCAAAATCCTCTCCTTTGAGTTGCTTTTATTGACTTGTATTTTAATGTCTCACCGTAAATGTAACTTTAGGGCAAGGGAGCCTAGTTAAATTTGACACCGTGTTATCTTGAAAGGGTTTGGTTAGGGGTGTTGTTCATCAAAATATACACTTGTATTAGAACTGAGAACAGTGGGGATAAAATCAAACTGAGTGTAGAGAAGAGCTCTAATTTTTGGGAATAACTGGTTGGCTTTTTTAAACAGAATATAGAGACCAATATGTGTATGTTTTCTTACTCATCACTAGAAAACACACAGCCAGGTTTGAGACTCATCTCCAAAGAGACTGGTGTGTCCTAAACTGACTTGAGATTCTCTTATTTTTCCATCCTTATTTTCCTATTTCATTTTGCTTTTATTTAAATTTTATTTAATCTTCCTGTAATGTTGGTATACTTGTAAGTCACCTAACATGCGTCTCAGACCAAGGCTGGCTATAAATAATTAAGAAGTTGTGACCAATGTGCTTAGCAAGATTTTATGTTGTTGTGGACAGAGTGTGGGTTTTGGGATTACACAGGTTAAATCAACTATTAGATCTTCTCCTCCTTCTTTTTCTCGATCTGTCGCCCAGCCTGGAGTGCAGTGGCGTGATCTCAGCTCACTGCAAACTCCACCTCTCATGTTCACACCATTCTCTCGCCTCAGCCTCCCGGGTAGCTAGGATTACAGGCCCCCTCCACCATGCCCGGCTAATTTTTTGTATTTTTAGTAGAGACGGGGTTTCACCATGTTAGCCAGGATGGTCTTAATCTCCTGACCTCGTGATCTGCCTGCCTCAGCCTCCCAAAGTGCTGAGATTACAGGCGTGAGCCAGCCACCACTCCCGGCCTTGATCTTCTTATGAGTTCGGCGATCTTCTGCAGGTTTCTTAACTTGATATGGAATCTTCCAGATGTGTTATAACTGCTGATTAATCCCATTGTCTTTGTTTCTAATGCTATCTTTTTTGTAACTTTTGTATGCATGCAATATTTTCTAACATATCTGTCTATCCTTTCACTGGTAAGACAGTCTTGGACAACTTTCACTTGCAAATGAATATCAACAAGAGAAAAGATCAGGAGATCCAATCGACATATATATAATATATCATATATGATATATTATAAATATCATATATGATATATATAATATATCATATATGATATATTATATATATCATATATGATATATATAATATATCATATATGATATTTAATAATTATATATTATATTTAATAATTATATAATATAATTATATGTTATATTTAATAATTATATAATATAATTATATGTTATATTTAATAATTATATAATATAATTATATGTTATATTTAATAATTATATAATATAATTATATGTTATATTTAATAATTATATATTATATAATATATTATTATAATATATATAAAATAATATAACATATTATATAATATATATTATATAATATATATTATATAATATAAAATAATATAGAATATATATTATATAATGTAAAATAATATATATTATATATTATATATATATTTTTTTGAGATGGAATCTTGCTCTTGCTGCCCTTGCTGGAGTGCAGTGGTGCGATATCGGCTCGCTGCAACCTCCACCTCCCAGGTTCAAGCGATTCTCCTGCCTCAGCCTCCCCAATAGCTAGGATTATAGGCATGCACCCGGGGTTTCTCCATGTTGGTCAGGCTGGTCTCAAACTCCTGACCTTAGGTGATCCGCCTGCCTCGGCCTCCCAAAGTGCTGGGATTACAAGCATGAGCCACCGCACCCGGCTGAGAGCTGTATTTTCTAAGAAAACTAGGAATGAGCTTCAAAATTTTAAATTTGTATTGTAGTAAAGTATACATCTCTAAACCTCTAATTCCCTATTCCACACCAGCATTCATAACCTGTTCTGCTGCTTAATTTATAGTACTGATTTCACTGGTTTCCATCAGAAACATAAGGCAAAACACTTAATATTTTGGCTGTCATCAATATTTTTCTCTATTAATACAAACAGGAGCACTCCTTATCAATGTACTATACATCAAAGAGATAGTGTCTGTCCTTACAAACAAACAAAAAAAATATATCAGAGTTTAATAAGCCTCTTCTATCTAATGAATGAATTTACAGTTTCAAAGAATAGTAAACCTGTCAGAGGGAATTAAATGATATATTGCACCAGGAATAACTTCTGTGTCTGGCATTGGTGTTAGGCCATTAGTAAGAGGAAAATAGAACATGTGGACCTTGATAATATACCTGTCTTTGATATTATTGTTAAGCTTGACTCTTCTGGCGATTAAAGCGGCAGGTAATAAAATGTATCATGCAAACGTAAATGTGATATTTTTCTTTTATTTTAAGTTTCTCACGGAAAATGATTTTGTGATTGCTCTTTGAACAGCACTTTATTTATAATCCTATTTGCAACTTGGAGAGATTTCACCTCAGAAGGCGAGTGAGCACACTGCTCTGGCTTTTGTGATTCTGAAAATGTCACTGCTGTCATTTGTCAAATATGCCTGAAATCTGCCTTTTCAATAAGTGACATCTCCCACTCCTTTTGGATGAAACTTTTCACTCCCTTTTTTTTTCTTTCAGAAGAATTCTATATAGAAAGCAGATATTTGAATCCTGATTTTACAACAGGAATGAGAAATTAATTTCTTATGTAAAACTACTAAATAGTATTTATTTCAGTACAATACATTTGGGAAGCTTTAGACTTATTTAGTTTTAATTTTGCCTTGGGATGGAATGCTTTTTTTGCATTCATAAAATGGATTATGTTTCTTTATATTTGGCAGAAAATCCCATAGAGCAAGAGTTGTCTTCTCAAGCACGTATATTTTTACCTGCTCCTCCACGGCTGATTCCCTCCTTTTCTTTTCATAAGCCTCATGAAAGGTTTTCCTTTTCTTTCTGCTTACTTGCTAAAATCCACAGGATCGGACTTTCTTCCCTGGGGTGGGGATTTGCAAACCCTGCAGTCATGTCTTCAGATTTACAACTGACTGACCTGTCTGTCCTGCGGCTTCCGGCTTAATTCTCTGGTTCCAGGTTATACCATCTGAGAGATGTGGACAGCATCTCCTCACATTATGAGGGATGTTGTGAGGATTAATTGATGTTTGCAGTACACATCAAAGCCCAGGGCTGCAAGATGCTTTATAAATTCAAAATACCCCTATGTTAATAGCAGGCTCTGTTATGAGAAACCTGCTAAACACAAGCCTTCCACTCTCTGGAGCTCCATGACCTTTCTATCTAGCCTACTAATTCCATAGCATCTCCCAGAGGGTTATTCTCTGCCCCTCCAGCCTGGATTTGTCTCTAACTTAATAAATGTAGCAAACCTGAAAAGCAAGTATAGAAAAAAAAGAAGGGATTTATTTATTTAAGTAATGCTTGTTCACCTGGAACATAATAGCAGCTGGATTCCTGCTGAATCAAGAATCTATTTGTTCCAGCAGGTCACCCAATGTTGTTTATCAATTTTCATTCTCACTAACAGAATTAAGCTCCCAAACCATTTCAAATCAGTTTTCTCCCCTTCATTTTGGAGGCTTTCAATTGAAGGGATACATTTAGCACGGTCAGAGCCCATTAATTACCAGAGGAATGGTGGCTTCTCCTTTG
This sequence comes from Homo sapiens, assembly GCF_000001405.40. Taxonomy (NCBI): domain Eukaryota; kingdom Metazoa; phylum Chordata; class Mammalia; order Primates; family Hominidae; genus Homo; species Homo sapiens. The sequence goes on from NC_000018.10 coordinate 52,274,606, forward strand.
TGCCAAAGCTGAGCTTTCCAAGAGAGCATCCCCTACCCAAGATATCAACTATATCTTAGTGCAAATACCATCTATTCCAAATGTACTTTTGGAAATGGCAGGTTTTAAATCAGGTAGTTTGCAGTTTCTGATATTAGAGTTATATGAATTATTTTTTATTGTCGTTAATTTTTTTAAAGATGTCCTTGTTATGAACTATTTTAGTCTGGTGATTAAACCTAGATTTAAGATATAAAATCTTAATTATTATTTGAAAAGTGTCTGTTCCTCAAATAAAGCCATTTGTTTTTATATTATTTTTCCAATAATGAAGGTAGGTTCAACTGAATTCAAGCCTCATTTTTTTACTTATTCTTCATAGGGCCACTGGCTCAGATGACTTACAATGTCATAACTAGGCTTGATTAACAGAGGTGCTCTCCAAACCGGAGATGGATAGTCTGGAGTTTATTTAGACTTAAAGGGAAAAAGAAAAGGTAGCCGGGTTTTCAATAATGAAGAATATTCTGTAAAAAGCATGCAAGCATTTGAATAAAACTGTGCTTCCAAAAGCCATGTAAGAAAGACAGTACCTATGTGAATATTGGTGAAAATTCAGATGGAGTCCAACTCTGGAGGTTGGACAGGTATTTAGCAGAGATGTGGGTCTGTAGACGGTACTGGGGATACCCAGAAGCAAAAATATCAGTTCCTATAATGACTAGAACTACCATCTCTCTATTCAACTATATATAGAAAGCACCATGGTAAACACTACTGACATGTGTTAACACATATCACATGTGATCAGTACCACATTTCTGTGAGGTGGGTGAAATTATTATTTTCATTACCCTGACAAAAAAACAAAGCACAGAAAAGATATGTAATAATTTCAAGTTCACATATTAGTAAATGGAGAGGAGAGGAGTCAACCCCAAGTAGTCCAATTCTAGAGCATTTCAAGCTCTTGAAGAAGCACAGGGCAGGGTGATTAAGAGCATGTGCTGTGGAGTCACATAAAGTCTGTGTGACCTTTACTTAGCCTCTCTTTATCCCAGTTTTCTTGTACATAAAATGGGATGATAATAGGTTATTGAGAAGATTAAATAAGATAATACCAATGAAACCTAAGAAGAGTTCTTAATCCATGGTAAGTGAGCAGCAAATGTTAGTTATTGCTAAATTGTAAGTACGTGGCCTTGGATCCTGGGGTGCATGGAGAAGCAGATACTCCTCTTCTAAAAAAATGATGTTAGGGTGCAGAAAGCCAATTGGTTAGGAAACAGGGCACCAAGATAAAGTTCTCCCTAACCTGACATTTAGAGTTTACCCAACATCATAGCTACTTCACAACCATTAACCCCAATCAAAGTTGTCAACTGACTGGCCCTGCTGATGCACAGAGAGCCCTATTAGCTTTCCTATGCAAGTGTTTAGTATAGAAATGAACAATCAAGGGTCACCAGATGTTTTAGGAAATTTGCATAATGAAAGAGAATGATCAAGACAGAGCAAAGTAACACTAGAGGAAGCAGACACATTGAAGATCAAAAGAAACTAAATTAAAACAAATAAAGCAATTCTAATTAGTCTCTTCAGGATGATTGAAGAATATATCACAGTCAAAAAGCAAGAAGATGCCTTTGTTAAAATAAATGTTTGTTGTTTATAGGCCACCCATTTTATGGTGGTTTGGTTATAGCCACCTGAATGGACTAAGATACCTCATAGCCTTTTGCATTCTATAATTTTATTATCTGTCTATTTATGAATTAAATTTCATTTATCCTATGTGAGATATGTTGGGATTCCAGAATAATGTGTATTTCATCAACTCTGAAAAATTCCCATCCGTTATCTTTTTTTATAAATATTATATGTTGTCTATTGTCTTTACCTTGTAACTTATCTTTTATATATATTTTTTGTTTTCATGTGTTTTGAGGGATTTTCATGTGTTTGTGGTGATTTCAGTAGATTTAATTTTTAGTTAAGTATTTTCTCTTCTGTTGCATCAATTACTTGGTTGTTTAACCTATCCTACTAACTTGATACATAGAGACAGATAGAATTATAGATATATAGATGGTACTTGTACGGCCTGGGTTGAAATTTCATTCTTCCTTGGTATAAGTGTGCATGTGTCAGCCAATCCAGTCACCTGGGGGCCCTACCAACCCAGAATAAACTTAAACTAAATTTCTAGCTTCTAGTTTTAGGGGCCATTCAGAAAATGTGAATTCTAGCCCCAAGCTTGCTTGAAGGTAGGTTTGTAGCTGAGAATCCTTTTCCTGTTTCTACTCTACTCAAAATCAAATAAAAAAAACGAACATCCCAGTACTCCCTGAGGTACAGCTTTTTTTTCTGGTTTTCATGCTGAGTGTGTTTTTCTGTAGGAAACCTACTTTATGCCAGTTATTTTTTAAGGCAGTCTTGCACCTTACTAGGCTCCCAGGCTTGTGTGCCCTTCACTTTCCATTATTCAAGGCCTCCTCAAACATCATGGCGCTAGGTCATCATTGATCAAACAGTAATGTCTACTTCAGCTTCACTGTCTTTTGTGGATTGATGCTTCCCTTGTTTTATGCTGTCATAGTATTCCCTTACTTTACTCCTAGTTCATCCATATATCAAAAAATATTTTAAAAAATATTTATTCGATGCTGAACTAAGAATGATTTCTCTAAATCTCTAGTTCCCTAAGACCAGTAAAAGAAGGCTTCTCCTTGCTGACTCAAAAAATTTTATTTATTGTTTCAGGGCCAGTTCAATTGCCACCTCTTTTATGAATTTCACTCTGGTACCTCTCGTCAGAATTAGTTTTTCTTCAATCTGCCAAATGGTATATTTCTCCTAATTGTATCATTTGTAGTTTTTTGCCTTATAGTAAAATTTGTGGTTGATATGTCAGTATCCCCCTCTAGATAGACTGATTCTTAAAGTCAGGAAGCTGTGTTTCATCATCTTTCTTTTGACCAAGGGAATGCCACACAATAAGTTGTTGATAAGTCTCAAATAAGTAAATGGATTAATGATAAAATTGATTTAAAAACTTTTATAGATTTGGTATTAGCAGGTGAAACTCAAGGGATATTGAGCATCTAGTATATATGATGCCTGTTGCTATGTGATAAGTAAATTGAAATGATAGTACAAACCCCCAATGATAGAAATTACCCTTTTATTCTCCAAGATGAAGTATGTGGAGTGGGGACATATAGGATTTCCTTGGATAAGAAGAGGGTATGGAAAATATGGCTGTGATCAATGAAGCATGCATAATGGATTATACAAGAAACAAGGATTCTGGGGGATCATCTCTTCATTACTGAGATTTATATAATCACACATATTATAATGTGTGCCAGCCATACCCTTTCACAACACATTATTGACATAAGACTGGACTAGAAGGTTTAAAGGTCATTCTTGTGTGTGCATATGTGTGGGTTTGTGATTTTATAGGCCGGTAAGTACTGTTACATTACTCTTATCTCAGCAATTAGAAAAAAATTCGTAATATAGAAAAGATAATTTTTGGCTTATAAAAGCTATATAGGAAATGTCTTTAATACATAATGCATTATTAACAATGTGTATTAACATTGATTGAAAAACAATGCACTTATGTATTATGAGGGTAGTGGGTAGTGAATTCAGGCATAGACAGTGAAAATGTCCTCAATATGTCCTCAATTATATTTTGCCTTTTACACACGTTTCAATAATTTATTTCTAGAACTTCAGATATGTTCTTGTTTGTTATCTTCTTATTCACTGCTGAACAAACACTTGACTGGCATAAGCCCAATGATTTTCTTGTTGATTTACCACTTTTAGCACTCAGAGTAATTTCCATCTTTGTCTCAACTGTGTTAGGTTTATGAGATCTACACTTCTTGTATCAGCATTTTCATCTTCCATTTGTTTTTATAAAATAATGAAGACAGAAGGCAATAAAATATTCCAAACATACAAACACTGCTATACGAATATCCTGCCAAAAGTGTACTGCTGTTTGGCAGTCAGAAACTCTATGTGTTACCTGAGCATTTCAGCTTATCACCTGTGTATGAAAGTACAAATTTACCATTTAAAAACTTAGTTTGGGCTGTTGATGTTATAATGTACAATTGAATGGATGGTATGAACACAGGATGAATAAAGGTCAAGGACAATCTCTAGCTAAAACAATGTTCCTTAAGTCTTTTCTTTGACTTGTGCATAAAGCAAAGACTGAGCCTCATATTTCTGGAACTACTAGTTTCTCTTTAGGAATATACCACATCTAAAGATTCTGTGGGCATCTAGGGAGGAAAGTACTCAAAACTGCATGTCATGATTGACAAAATAATAATATTAGTAATAATAATAATGTATCAATAATATTGATACATGTGTTCATTTTATTATTTTTATATATTTTACTATATCTATTTATTTATTATTCGTCTCCATTTCTAGAGGAGTATGTTAGAAATTTCCCATTAAAAAACATTAAAAATATTGCAGCATCACAAAATAGTAAGATTCTCTTCTTTACTGACAAAAGAAGTTTCTTCCCATTCCCTCTCAAGGATTTCTACCTAGGTAATGATTTCAGTCCATATATGTATCCTCCTAAGCTTTTCTTTTCTTCCTCTGATCCCATAGTCTTTCCAGCTCTCAGACTTTCACTGATTGAACCCAAGTCAACGTGACATTTTTGCATGGTAATTTTCCAGCTTTATTTCTAATTACCAAGTATTGAGGAATTTTTGTTGTCAATAAGCAATAGCAAATTTTTTGAAAATTACAAGTAGGCTTATTTGTGGATATGAGGAGACTCCTGGTTCCTTGATTTTGTAACAAATAAGTGGCTACTAGATACCAGCAGTCAGAGAAACAGATGACCCTGGTCAGGTTTACTCTTTGCCTTTCTTGCCCTGGCCTTACATTTGACATGGTGAGGACTCTGTGACACAGCACGTATTTGTACTTATGGATATATTTATTTTTAGCCACTGCTTTATGTAAATTATGCAGAGGAAGTATGTGATCACCTGAAGAGATCCTCAGACTATAAATAAAAGTAGTTGGGTTGTGGTTCCTGTTCTGTCATTAAACTGGTATGAGATTTGGGCAAGTTAAATTCTATCTTTGAATCTTAGTTTTCTCATCAGTAAAATAAGTATATAAGACTAAATCAGTGGTTTTTAATCTTGGAAGCATATTAGAATCCAGAGAGCTTAAAAATGTGAACCACCTCTACAATTATCTCCATCTAATTTTTTTTATTATACTTTAAGTTCTAGGGTACATGTGCACAATGTGCAGGTTTGTTACATATGTATACATGTGCCATGTTGGTGTGCTGCACCCATTAACTTATCATTTACATTAGGTATATCTCCTAATGTTATCCCTCCCTCCTCCCCCCACCCCACAACAGGCCCCGGTGTGTGATGTTCCCCTTCCTGTGTCCAAGTGTTCTCATTGTTCAAATCCCACCTATGAGTGACAACATGCGGTGTTTGTTTTTTTGTCCTTGCGATAGTTTGCTGAGAATGATGGTTTCCAGCTTCATCCATGTCCCTACAAAGGACATGAACTCATCCTTTTTTATGGCTGCATAGTATTCCACAGTGTATATGTGCCACATTTTCTTAATCCATTCTGTCATTGATGGACATTTGGGTTGGTTCCAAGTCTCTGCTATTGTGAATAGTGCTGCAATAAACATACGTGTGCATGTGTCTTTATAGCAGCAATCCAATTTTTAATTTAAAAAATAGAAACATCTGAGGTTTACCCCCATGGATATTCTGATTTGAGTGTAGTGGGTGTGGTCACCAATACTTTGGAAAAGCTCTCTTGATGATTCCAATATGCAGTCAACGCTGAGAACTGCTGGACAATATGATCCCTAAGTCTTGTTCGGAAAGGCAATGTAAGATAAATGTTTAAGAGAATAAACATTGGAATCAGACTGAGGTAGGTTTGAATCCTAGCTCTCCCACCTCCAGGTTATATAAGCGTGGGTAAGTTGTAACTTCTTAAAGTCTCAGTTTCTTCATCTGTACAGTAAAGTTAATACTTAACTCAGTGAGTTGTTGTGAAGATTGAGTATAATAATGGATATAAAGAAAATAGCTCAGGACTTTGCCTATGGTAGGCATTCAACAAATGATGATGATAAAGAGGATTCTTACTATGATGAAGCTAATACAAAAATTAAAAAAAAAAAAAATCCCTGAGTGTGGCTTTGGTCCAAGATTAGAAAGTAGAATAATAGAACAAAATAAAGAAACCGAAACAGCCGTCTGCATATCTTAAAACCCAGTATATCCCATGAGTGCTTTCTCAATCACCAGCAACTATGCAGTAAATGGTGCTAGACCAAATGATTACCAAAAAGGAAAAAATAACAATAACAGCAATGAAATTAAATTCCTATCTTCCATGTTCATAAAAGTAGGTTTCAGGGATGAAAGACATAAATATGACAAAGCAACACTCAAAATATCTTGGAAAAATAGGAACATATTGTTATGGCATTAGGACAGGAAGGAATCTATAAACACAAAAAGACAAATTATAAGGGAAGGAATAAAAATACTGATGGCTATAAAATTCAACACTTCTATATTCTAAAAGTATTATATAGCTAAAAGATAATATGTTTACCATATATAAGCAACAAAGATATAATAATCAGAATAAAAATCTACAAATCAAGAAAACAAAATAAATAAATAATTTTAAAAATGGGCAAAGTTTAGGGATTGTCGGCCCATAAAAGTAGAAGTAAGCAAATAAAAAGATGTACAACCTTGCTATTTATCAGAGGATTGCAAATTAAAACAGAATGAGGTACAAATTCACATTCATTAGATAGACAAATTTTAAAAATATAACAATTCTGGATATGGTTATGTCTACCTATAGTCCCAGCTACCTAGGAGGCTGAGGTGGGAGGTTCCCTTGAATCCAGAGTTTGAGAGTGCAGTGAGCTAGGACGGCACCACTGCACTCCAGCCTGGGCAACAGAGCGAGACCCAGTCTCTTCAAACAAACAAACAAACGGGAACTAACAATTCTATAAACTGCAAATTGGAGATTCAAATTGCTATGACAACTTTATGAGAAACCTCAGCTTTTTTCTATAAGGGGACATGATCAAGAGTGATCCCAACAGTTTCTGAATAGACAAAAACTGGTACTAACTTCAATGTCATCAACAGGAGAATTGATGAATGAATTGTGAGAACAGTGCACAATAATGCTAATCAAGAATAAAAACTAATGGATGTGGATGAATTTTACAAATAATATTTTTAACAGAAAACATCATTCAGAAAGATATACATAGTATGTTACCAAAAATGCTTTAAATAGTCCATTAATAACGTATAAATTGTGGTCAAAAGAATAGATACCAACTTCAGGTTAGTGGATAGATGGGGAGACAGGCAGAGAGGGAGAGGGATAGGTGAAGGGACACAGAAGGAATTTCAATTTAATTTTTTAATTTTTAACTTTTTAAAGACTTGAAGGACCTGTAAAATAAATTTGCTAATCTGGGATTGTGATCACAGGATTTTCAACTGTGTGTGTGTATGTATTTGTGTTTGTGTGTGTGTGTGTATGTGTGTACATATATATATATATATATATATATATATATATATATATATGTATGTTCTTTCACTTTGCTGTCTTCATCTGCTATTGCTCATAATCTTTGTATTGCTATTATTTTAAAATGTGATTGTTGTTTGCTCACACTGCCATAGACCCTGTGCTACAACCTTTGTGTGTACCTTCTCATTTAGTCATCATGAGGGACTATCATTATCCCTTTAGACAAATGACGAGAACAAAGCTCAGGGAAGTGATCACAGTGCTGTGACTGGTAGGTTGGCAGTAGGGCCCAGGAGCCCACGTTATTAATCACCACATGTTGGAAAAGCTTGGAACTCCTTGAGTGTGCAACCCAAATGTTTATCATGTGAGCTCCCCTTCCTTTCTCAGTGGTGAGAAAAATGGAATAAATACTGTAAATGAGATGCATGCGGGGCTCTCATAAGAAGACTTAGACTTATCCTCAAGAGTAGAGAGAACAATGAAGCATAAAGGGCTTGAGACTTCCCAGGCAAGCTCCTGTCTTATTTTCCTTTACTCTTTATATCTCATGAATCCCACAAATTTCCTATACTCTCTTTTCCAACTCCTCACCTTCTTTCTCTCCATAAGAAGGTTTTCTTCACATATACTAAAGGACAGTGTTTGGAGAAGGGCCAGGAAATCACTGTGGACCAAATCATGAAATTCTGTGCCTCATCTCAATGAGGTTGCACCATCAACTGTTCAATCCATTAATCTGAGAAATATCATTTCTCCAGAAATGAAGATAAAATATAAGCAACTAAGTACCAAGAAAACTCAGTTTCTATCCCTGGTATAAGAAGTGCAGGTCACGCATATGAGAAATGTGATTAATTTTCCTTTCTATTTCCAGTGACCACATTGTTTGTTTCAGTCCTCATTCAACAGATATTTGTCTTTTGCTTTTCGGGGACACAGTAGTAATTGGCATTTTGGTCTGGTAACATTGGAAATGTTTAACTACTTTGAATACTATACATTTAAACTACCCAAACTGACATGTTCTAAAGAATAATCTCGGCTGGGCAGGTTGGCTCACACCTGTAATCCCAGCACTTAGGGAGGCCAAGGCAGGTGGATCACGAGGTCAGGAGTTCGAGACCAGCCTGGCCAATATGGTGAAACCTCGTCTCTACTAAAAATACAACAATTAGCTGGGTGTGGTGGCGCGTGCCTGTAGTCCCAGCTGCTCAGGAGGCTGAGGCAGGAGAATTGCTTGAACCCAGAAGGCAGAGGTTGCAGTGAGCTGAGATCACGTCCCTGCACTCCAGCCTGGGCAACAGAGCAAGATTCCATCCCAAACAAACAAACAAAAGAATAATCTCAACTCCCCACCTTAGATTATACAAGCACCAGGTGTGAGATTAAAGAAAAGAAAGAGAAAAGGTTGGAACTTAGTTAACTTCATTAACTAAGGCCCAAGGGACATTTTACGTCTTTTTCTTGGAAACTGAAGCTTCCACTCAGCCTTCTGTTTCCCTTAGCCTCAGTTCGCAGTGGGGTCTTCCACAGTGGTGACTTCCTGGCTGCTCTTCACCCCCCTATCCACTGTTCACCTTGGGATGGGCAGACACTTACATGAGCCATGGGCTTGGAAAGAGAAATTTGGCTCAGAAAATACCTGACTTCTTTCTTTTTTTTTTTTTAACTTTTATTTTCAGTTTGGTGTACAAATACAGGTTTGCAACATAGGTAAACTTGTGTCATGGGGATTTGTTGTACAGATTATTTTATCACCCAGGTATTAAGCCTGCTACCCATTAGTTATTTTTCCTGATTTCAAAACATACCCGGTTCAACCTTTCCTGTCTCTCTGTTTCAGAGCCAGCCTGTCCAGAAGACACATGGATATTAGTTTTGCCAGCCTGTCCAGAGGACACACAGACACTAGTTTAGGAGGACCTACTTGTGTTAGACAGGCCTGCCATTTTTCCAGGGTTGTCTGTGACAATGTGGTGAAGTCTGTCTAATTCAACAAGGGACTTTCAGCAGCCAGAAACTATACTCTACAACCAGCTTTATCAGTAGTAAAGGCTGATATTTTCACTTCCATTTGTTCATTGTCTATTTTTTAAAATTTTCCAATTGGCTCGAAGCTCAAGAGGAGAAGAAAGGGAGTAATTTATTGACCACCCCCCCCCCGTTTTGTCATGCAATATCATGGGAGAGATAAATAAGAGGGGACAAAAAGAAAAAGAGGAACAGTGAAAAATCTGCAGCACAGTCCTTTACTCAGCTCTGGAAGGAAGCCAAAAAGGAAAAATTAAGGTTAAAAAAAACTATGTTATTTTAAAACAGCTTATTGAAGGAAATAATAGTAACAGGAAAAATCAATGAAGTGCACAAAGCCGAATAAAAAGCAATGAAGTCTGGAGTAAAGGCAAACACTATTGTATTCAACAGAAGGAATCATGGGACTAATAACAAGTATGTACTTTTTATTACATGAACAAATAAAACATTTCCAATTGAAGCCACTGATCCCAATACCTTGCAGTGCTTGAGAATCATAAAAAGCATTCAGAATCTTTTTAAAAAGTCAATTCAATGCTTACAGTATATTATCAATATCAGTAAAGTGATATTTGCCGGAAAGTCACCCCAGAACTATAATGTCAATTATGTCTTAGAAAGCATGTAAGCACTATCCTCTCAGGAGCATTTCTGAAAGAATAATTTTTCTTTTTTAATTACTGGAGAGTCAGATCAGGACATTGGATGGAGGTCTTTTTACTCCCCACCTAACCCTAGGGCCAAAAAGGGAAGAACATAATTGAACTTCATCAACAATATTAACATGGTAGGAAAATACAAAGCAACTCTATGTGTACAGAATAAATCTTAGCTTATTCCTTCTGCATCTAACCTGTAGTCTCCAAAGACCAGGATCTGGGAAGGCCAATGAGAAGAAGCCTTATTTGTTTATTTATTTTTTAGACAGAGTTTCGCTCTTGTTGCCCAGGCTGGAGTGCAATGGCACAATCTCGACTCACCACAACCTCCACCTCCCAGGTTCAAGCAATTCTCCTGCCTCAGCCTCCCGAGTAGCTGGGATTACAGGCATGCGCCACCACACCCAGGTAATTTTTTTTTTTTAAGTGTGACGCGATTTCTCCATGTTGGTCCGGCTGGTCTCAAACTCCTGACCTCAGGTGATTCACCCACCTCAGACTCCCAAAGTGCTGGGATTACAGGCGTGAGCCACCACGCCCTGTTGAACCCTTATATTTTTATGTTGCTTGTTGCTGACCAATTCTGCCTGCAGCTACTTACTTCTTTTTTAAATTCCTTGGGAAAACTGTATATCTCCTGGGAGCATGACCCCCTGCTATACATTTTGCTCTCCAATCTGTTTATCGTATCTCTTAATTGGCTTGAATGCCCTGATTACATTGGGAATTAAATCTGTCTTCCTATTTGGTTGTGTGGCAGCAGTTTGTTTGCAGTGTCTTTACTCAGACAGGACAAACCTTTAATGCAAGCAGGAACTTGTCCCGCCTTGGTTTTCTAGGTTGAAGGATTGCACCCCACTCCATCTGATCCCCTGCAAAATGCATTGTAATAAAGGGGTTCTAAAACTTTGTCATTTGCCAGTGTGTAGGAATCAAGGTCCAGAGGGAAAAACTGGTTTGTGGAATGGCTGCCATTTTGTGACTATTATGATAAAAGACCATGGTATTTTATTGAAGGCAACAGAGCCCAGTAGCAGCAGAACACCAGGAAGGAGGGAGGAGATACCAGGAGGAGGGGAGAGCGCACTCAGAATTTTCTCTGCTTCATGTTTCCTGTGCCTAAAAGGATCCTTTTATTTATTTTTTCTCCCTGATGGATTCTTACTCATTCTCCAAGGCTCAGCTTAAACACCATCTCCTCTGTGGAGTTGTTTTGTATGGACTCTTCCTGCTCTGTATTTCTTCTTTTTCCGCACCTCAGAAGAGGTCATGCCTTCATCCTGTAGGCTATGGTAGTCACATGCACACCTCCCCCTGCTGGGAACCTTGGAAGCAGAGATCATGCTTTATTTCTCTGTATTTTCTAAGATTATTGGGAACCCAGTAGATAGGCAATCCAGGCAGGAATGAACAAACTGATGAATGAATAAGCGAATGAAAAAAACTAGCAACATTTTGCCTTGGGTCCTCTGTGCACACACTGTCGTTTAACTAAATGGTGCAGCAAGTAATTCTTGCTAAACGATTTGCAGAAACTAGCCCTGGCAACTTTCTTCTTGCCCATCAAAACCTTGGAAATCACTTAATTCCCCTCTCTCACTTTTATCTCCTCTTGTTGATTCCATGCCTGAAATATTTCTCACCTCTTTCCATTTCCCCTATACCAAGGTTTTCCATGCCCTCTCCTCATCCCTCTTCTTAGCATTCTACTTGGCAGCATGGTTGTATCTGTTCATGATTCATTTCAGTTCCTTCTACCACCACCCTTCAAACAGCAGTTTTATACCAAGAGTAAAATGGATGTGTTTACAGAGATAACTTTAGAATGCGCTTGCTAACTGTTAGAGGAACATGATATATCACTATACGTTAAAATTATCTGAGATGTTAGGGATGTTAATAAAATAAATTGGAAAGAGATGTGCATGCAGGGCCCTTATCATTCAAGATAACATCGGAAGCTCAAAAGCAGACTCCCCTGTGTAACTGAGGGGAGCGTTTTACAAGATTAAAATGTTCCAAGCACTGTCGGCTCTGACAATGGCATTAAACAATTTTTCACAAGGGGTGGAAATCAAACCAGATCTAATAAGAAAGATCCTTATGTGGCTGCATGATGAGAAGATGAAAGACGCAACTATTGCAGGAAGGATGGCCCTGACATGCAGGGGTGCCAGGCGATTCACAAAATCCTGCATGGGTGTAAGTTTCCGCCTAACACTTTAATAACAAAAATATCTCTTTTTAACTGGTGTTAGCTTATTTTTCCCTCTGGCCTTTCTTTTTCTATTTCTTACTGAAAGCAAATAACCTATTATCAACTCCTGATAATATGTGGTGGTTTTAACTTCAGCTCCTGAAGCTGAGTCTTGGGAACTGATGAATAAGACATTTTTCTTCACGTTCTATTGTGAAAACATTCCTGGTATTTCTCTTATTTCCTGTGCCTTAGAGAACTCAGTAGGGTGCTGAATTTCAGTAGAGATACAAATGTACTTGCAAGCTTGGCATTGATTTATCATGATCTTTCCTGTAAGGGAAAAATAGAGATTGTTTTTGCTGTACAGACTTCCCTAGAAGAGTTTGACTTCTAACACCTCTGATGGGTAGTCTAATTGGATTTAGAAGATGGTATGAATCTCTTTTGGCAACAATGAAAGGCACACAGAGGCCTAAGGGCAGCCATCATTTATTTATTTATAACACATTTTATTTCAAAAAAATGTTAAGCCAATCCCTGCTCCTGAGTCTACATCAATACTTTTGACACGTAAAAAAACAATATAAATCACAAATTTAATACATTCTCTCTAAGTTTTCCTAATGATATATTCAATGGTCTCATGCCTTCTTTCAAATTAAACAACCTAGTTTAGTCTCTTCTGTTTTCATGTATGATAACCCGCCTTGCCAATGCACCTGGTCCTTTAAATATCAATCTATATTTTTCCTGAAATGGAGGATACCTAATAATTATCTGGAACCAAATAGTGGATTGAATGGAAACTCTGCTGTCCACACCTTTGACAATTATACCACTGGTTCCTCATAAAGGAACCTCCAAATGTCAAAGCATAGAAGAAAGAATGAGAACTTTCTGCAGTCCATCATCTGTAATAAAGGAATGTTATGGAATACATGGAGAGAACGCCTGAACACAGCATTGGAAAGTGAAGAATTTGAATTGTATAGAGTAGAGGACAGATGAGCATCTTTTTAAATTAATTGAATTAACCAAACTTAGTACAGTATTAATAGCCCTTTATGAGAAACAATTAAATATAGCAAAAATTGTGGTATTCCAAGGAACTATTCTAAAAGACATACAAATGGAAAGCCTAAGTGTGAATATGCATGCATGATAACTTGGAGAAAATTCCAAAGTTTGAGTTTTCCAATCCTTGAGGCTGTTCTATTAATAATATTCATCAAAATATTCGTTTCACTCAAAGGAATTGAGACTGTGGCTTCAGAAGGAAACATTTAACCAGATATATTTATATATTCAACCAGTGGAAAGAAGAAAATACATTACTTCTCTTTCAATAACACAACATCTTTATTTTACCCTTCTACCTGGAGGGTACAGATAGAGTCCAGAGGAAAATCAGCTATTTCTGAATTTTTAGGAATGGTATTATCTAATCGTGAGCTACCTGGGGCCGGTGCTAGGGAGCACAGCGCCCACTTGTGGGCATGCGTAATTTGCCACTGCTCTGTGCAGGTGAATTTAATCAACACCTTTTACCTTCTCCCCAAAGACACCAGCCCACTAAAATGCATGGGGTTGGGTAGGGGGATGGTGGAGAAGGGTGGGAGAAGGGGCTCTGGATGTACACAAATCATTCGGAAAGGCAAACCATCTCTGTTTTGGAAAATAAAGTTTTATGGACAGCTGTGCCCGTTTGTTTACATATTGTCTGTGGCTGCTTTCACACAACAGAGTTGCATAGTTATGACAGAGAGTAGATTGCAGAAAAAAGCAAAGATATTCAATGTGTGTCCCTTTACAGAAAAAGTTTGCCAACCTCTGCTTTAAACTCTTAGGTTTACCTGCAAGCCCGTCTGGAGATTTTCAGAGATCCATTCATCCAATCCTCCAGAATATCAGCAATGTTTCCTTTACATTTGTGATTATGCCTTCCTGCATTTTCTAAAACTGGAGGGAATATTTATTTTTTTCAGTGTTATCAGAAGACACTAGAGTCTACATTTGTTAACTCGTTTATGTAAATGGGTGAAAAATCAGAGAGGACCACAGGAAACTTGTATTTTAAATAGCTTCCAATCACTGAGCCATAGAGAGTGATACCATGATCCAAGCCAAAGAGTGAGTACCACCCTATAACACCCTCACCCCCAAACCAGGAGGTTTGAATCTGGGAGCCATAGTCCCAGAGGCATTCTACTGCTGCCACTGCTGATAAACCCAGCTGTCACACCAAGAAGGATCACTTCCCAGACTGACAACAAAGACTTCGGTGGTACCTACTTGCAGAGGTTGGCAAAAGATGCCACATGGGCCAGGTGTTCACAGCCTATCTCCTCCTCCATAAACAATGCAGGATGTTTTATGCTCACAGCAGAGTAATGACTCTAAGAGACTGAATGATTAAATGCCAGTCTGCCAGCCAGAGTACATTTGTTTTCTGCTTGAAAAAGCCACTTTCATTTTGTATGACAGCTTTCTTAACTGCAACATAGCTCAGAAAATGACAGAGAGCGAATGAGAATAAGTGATTGTAAACTGGCAAACAACTATTTGCTACTATTTGAACTACCATTAAACTGTTCATTCAATTTCTACTCAGAAGCCATCAGTCAGCTGTGGAACCAGAATGTAAGCATTATTTATTTGGTGGCATTACAATGCCATCTAATCTTGGAGAAAATCATTTAGACAAAAATCAGAGTATCCAAAAATTGCCTTGACATTCAGTGGCAAAATGCAATGCTTAACCATAGCTTCTTGCATTTCTGTATTTTTTTTCTCATTATTATTACTGAGATACTTGAATTCCATTCTCATTCCAATATCATGCCTTCAATAGTATCATTTTTCTCACTAGCTGCCTGTGCAGGCCAGGAATTGTTAACACAGAGCAAAGCTAAAGCTTTGTAAAATGTTCAAGGGCTACTCCTGGCTCCCATTTAGTATCATTCATTTCCTTTGGGAATATGCCTGTTCACAATTTCCTAAGACAGCCTTGTTCACCATGGAAGAAACAGAAAATGTAAAAACAGTGAGGTCAGCTACCAGGTGCTCTGCCTACTTTACCTTATTTAAACCTCTTAATCTTAATGAGGTAGGTAGTTTGCCTCTGTTATAGACAAAAAAGTTGAGGCTTATGTAGGTTAAGGGATTCGCCAAAAAGTTGGAGCTGGATATCAAGTCTGACTGACCCTAAGTTCATCTTACGAAGTTGCTTCTTAAAGGAAGCTAGTGTTATTGCCTGTTCCATCGAAAGTAAAGAAATTTAAATACTCCAAAGGAGTCGGTATTTATTATGTATATAGATAGGAATTTGAAGTAATGAAATAAATCATGTTTAGGCGAATGTCAGTGTTAGAGTTCCATATGAGAGTTAATTTTTCATATATTAATACTGGAAGATTATGTCCTTAGTCTAACGATATTGACCACATTGAAATCATGTTTTAGAACATTTTCTAAGACCCCCTTCATACATGGAGTCACAGGTCTTTTGCTTTTGTTTTTGTCATTTGTTTGCTCATTTGTCTGCTTATTTTTAAAGTTAGCTATTTTTTTCTTAGCCCTTTATTCTCTCAAAGTGAATTGGTGTTTGATAACAGCTGAATTAATTTGGAGTCAAGTTTAGTGTTAGTGAATAGATCAAATTATTTAATATCACTTTGTGTGTAAAAAGGGTTGATCATATGGTGAATGGATGTAAGTTACTGCACCTCATAAATGAAACATTTGAGTATTTATAACACTGTCCTAATGGTTTCCCAAGGATGTTAATTAGACAAAAAATAAACTTTCTGGAGGATATTTTGGCCATATGTATCAGGAATTTTACATTTTATACATGTTTTAGCACAACAATTCCATTTATAGAAACTTAAATAAATAAACAAGATGTATACTAAGATTTTTTTTAGAATACTCATCAGTGCATTATTTGAAAAGGTAAAAATAAAAATCAACATATCTAACATGAGACATTAGTCAACTATGTAATAAAATATGTGTTCATTTAAAACAATGTTATAATATGTAATGGTTCAATAAATATACATAATATGTTTAAAATATTTTTAAAATTTAGTACAATATACTTCTATTTTTGTGATATCAATATTCTTTATGCATAAATATTATTCTTTAATATGTGAAGAGATGTATAATGAAAGAAAAAAATGATGTGTATGTGCATTTTCTCTCCAAATTTTCTGCAGCACATGTGTTAATTTTGTAATGCAAATATTTAAAAACCTATTTTAAAAACTTGATTTGATCTATAGACATAATTTATAAATTTTACAGTGGTAGATAAACCACTGGCTTTAAATAATAGAAACTCATCATAGCACCTTTCAAAAATATAGTCTTCATAGACTGGAAGAGAATATTTGCAAAAGATACATTTGATTAAAAACTATTACTCAACACAAAAGAAGAACCCTTAAAACTCTACACTAAGAAAATAAACAACCTGTTGGAAAAAAATGGTCAAAAGATCTGAATAGACACCTCACCAGAGAAGATACAGGGATGGCAAATAAGCATATAGAAAGATGTTCAACATCTCATATCATTAGGGAATTGCAAATTAAAATAATGACAAAAATCTAAAACACTAACAACACCAAATGCTGGTGAAGATATGGAGCAATGGGAACTTTCATTTATTGCTGGTGGCAATGCAGAATGGTACAGCATTTGCAAGACATTTTGGAAGCATTTAGAATGCAGTTTAGCAGTTTCTTACAAAACTGAACTTTGTCCTACTATTCAATACAGCAGTTGCTCTCCTTGATATTTACATAAGTGAATTGAAAACTATGTCCACACAAAAACCTACACATGAAGGTTTATACTGTACTGGCTTTATTCATAATTGTCAAAACTTGGAAGCAAACAAGATGTCCTTCAGTAAGTGAATAAATAAACAAATTGTGGTATAGTCAGACAATGAAATATTATTCAGCACTAAAAAGAAATGAGCTATCAAGCCATGAAAGGCCATGAAAAAAACTGACATGCATGTTACTAAATGAAAGAAGCCAATCTTAAAAGGCTATATATTATTAAATTTATAATTCCAGCTGTATGACACTCTAAAAAAGTCAAAACTTTGGAGATAATAGAAAAGACCATTGGTTGGCAGGTGTTAAAAGAGTGGGAGGGATGAATAGGCAGAGCACAGAGAGCTTTTAGGCCAGTGAAAATATTCTGTATGATATTGCAATGGTGGCTACATGAACTATGTTAGCAGTGGAAATTATCAGAGTCATATGGCATCAAAATATGTTACCAGCAGCAAATCCGTATGGGTCTGCAGCAACCTCAATTCTTGCCTCTTCAGAAGAAAGAATTTGAGGGGATTAAGGCAGAGGAGAGACTGAGGCAAGTTTTAGAGCAGGAACAGAAGGAAGGAAGGAAAGCACTTGGAAGAGGGCCAAGTAGGTGACTTGAAAGACAAGCATATGGTTTGACCTTTTGACTTGGAGTTTTATGTGTTGGCATAATTCCGGGGTCTTGCATCCCTTCTCCCCTCATTCTTCCCTGGAATGGGCTGTCTGTAAGCATAGTGCCCTGCCAGCACTTTGGAGGGGCTGCATGCAGTATGTTTACTAGAGTTGTATCCATGCTCATTTGAGGTGTTCTTCCCTTACCAGCTGAATGTCCCCAGAAGGTCATATACTAGTTAAACTCTGCCATTTTGCCTCTTAGTGTGCATGTGTGAGCCCACTCACCCCACTCCTGAAATAGCTTATCGGGAAGCTTCAGGTGTTTCTGTTTACTGGGAAATGGCCTTTCCCTGGCAGCGGCTGTGACCAATTATTATTTTAGAGAAACAGCTACCAACTGCCTGACCATCACCTGATGGTTACCTGACATTCCTGGTATGTGTGGGGTCGGGGTCGGGGGTGGGGGTGGGGGAGCCCTCTTCTGCTCTGCTCATGTCTGACTAGTTACTTCCTGTAACAATTATATGTTTGTCAAACCCATAGATTATACAATACTAGTAGTAAACCCTTATTAAACCCTTACATAAACTATAGTGTTTGGTTGATGATGTGTCAATGTAGGTTCATCACCTATAACAAATGTACCACTGTGGTTTGGGATGTCGACAGTGAGGGCAGCTAAATATGTGTGGGAACAGGAAGTATATGGGAACGCTCTGTGCTGTTGCTTAATTTTACTGTAAATCTAAAGCTGCTCTTAAAAAAATCCAACTTCATTAATTTTTAAAACATAAATCCTTAAACTGTTTATTTGCAGGAAGGTATAATCACAAATGTGAAGAAAACATTGCTGATATTCTGGAGGGTTAGCTGACTGGATCTCTGAAAATCTCCAGACGGGCTTGTGGGTAAATCTATGAGTTTAAAGCAGAGGTTGGCAAACTTTTTCTGTAAAGGGACACGCATTGAATATCTTTTTTTTTTTTTTCTGCAATCTGCTGTCTGTCATAAGTATGCAACTCTGTTGTGTGAAAGCAGCCGTAGACAATATGTAAACAAATGGGCATAGCTGTCCATAAAACTTTATTTTCCAAAACAGAGATAGTTTGCAAATCCCTGGTTTAAAGCAAGGGATGGGAATGTGGTATGGAAAGCATGACTTAAGTGTATACCAAAGCTTTGGAAGGGGTGAGAGGAGTTCTGCTCACTGGGAGGCTGATGGGGAGCTGGAAGAAAAGATGGATTCCTTGGGTCTCAAAAAAAGTTCTGTTAGGTTCTAGGTAATTGCAAATAAGTCTTAGTTCTCTCGAATAATACCAACAGATGTTCAATTTGTTTTCCAGGAACTGGAAATGAAATCCTTCGAAGAAAAAACAGAGGGTTGGGAAATGGTAAAAGGTAACTTAACACTATTCTTTAACTTTCTCAGAGGGCAACTTGGAATAATAGCAACAAGGAAAATACTGAATCACTAATTTCCCAGAATTCAGCTACCTCAAAATAGAATCTCCTATCAGTCTAATCATTGCCTAAATCAAAGCATTACTTTTTACCAAGGAGTTAGAGGAGAAGAGCCAGAGTCCCGCAGAAGTAGAAGAACATACTTAAAATGAAAAGTGAGATGTATTGTATGGCAGAATTACATAAGATTTGCTGTTATTGGATTCAAGTTGACCTAATACTACCTTTCCAGTTTGTATAATACTTACTCAACTCTTTATAATTCTTTAAAAATGATTTGATAAAAATCCCATTCAGAGTATTATTACATTAGATGAGACATTAATTTTCTTGTTAAACCTCAGAAATGTGCAACTGAATTCCTTTAGGTATTTAGAACACTCTTAATTATATCTTTAAGATTTATTTTTTCAGTTTTATTACAAAACAAAAGTGTAAATTTAAAAAGATAAATTGGAACTATAAAAATAGACAAGATAAAACTCATACATGATACATTCTCTACATGAGTAAATATCCTAATTAAAAGTGAGATTCAATCACCATATATAATTCCAAAGATGTCTACTAAAGCCAGAACTGGAATGATAATTAGAGATAAAGATTTGTTTAAATGTTCTGTCTTTAAATATTTTTATATTATTGTGTATAATGGCCCTCCCATATTAATAAGAATCAAAGTAGAATTCAACTCCTACAGGTGAGCCTGGTCAAATGTCCCCATTCAAGGACATCTTCATGTCAGTACATGCATGGATAAGATTCATTTTGTCCATGCCCTGGCATAGAGTTTTCGATGAGTTCGTGTTTCTGCAGGATCAGTGGGCTATAGTCATGTAGTTATGACTATAACTCTGCTTGCCTAGCTAGCTAACTACTCTCATTTCTAGAATCAAAAGAGAAAAATGTCTATGTATGAGAATAGAGTTGCTCTTCTGGATTTCAAGAATATGACAAATGTGGGTTATTTCATTAGTATTTTGAAAAGGTTGTCAATATTCCACCTCAGAATGAATGTAGATCTATGGTATATTAGTCCATTTGCATGCTGCTGATAAATATATACCTGAGACTGGGAAGAAAAAGAGGTTTAATTGGACTTACAGTTCCACATGGTTGAGGAGGCCTCAGAATCATGGTGGGAGGTGAAAGGCACTTCTTATATGGCAGTGGCAAGAGAAAATGAGAGAGATGCAAAAGGGAAAATCCCTGATAAACCCATCGGATCTCATGATACTTATTCACTACCACAAGAACGGTATAAGGGAAACTGTCCCCATGATTCAAATTATCTCCCACCAGCTCCCTCCCACAACACGTGGGAATTATGGGAGAGCAGTGCAAGATGAGATTTGGGTGGGGACACAGAGCCAAACTATATCATATGGCCTCCCTATGGGACGTTATACAACTCTCTCATTACTCAATATTTACTGAGCATCTATTATGTGTCAGGCATTGTACTAGATACAACGTGACAAGCAAGACATGTTTTCCATTTTATGTGAGGCCTTTAAGACCCCCTGTGGAAACAATACCATTAGGTATTCAGTGTCACTCTGCACAGCAAGAAGCAAGGGAGAAAATAGTCCCTTACTATACACATTTAATTCTGAGAATCTGAGCTGTGGCATGATTTGGGCCCATTTCTGTGAGTAGGTGGGATGCAACTATTCAAAGAAGAATTTTAACTTCACAAAAATATTTCTATTCTACTCTCTACTTGATAATTTAAAAAAAACAGGGTGCAATCAAAAAGGAGCCCATGTTTTAAAATAAAATGTATAACTCCATTAATATATGTGTGCATGTGTATGTGTGTGTATGTGTGTATATGTGTATATCTATGTATATATGTGTATGTATACATTAGTCCACATAAACACATATATAAATATATGTAGGGAGTGATTAATGCTTTACATAATGGAAGAAATTAAAATATTTGAATATATAAATAAAATGTATATATAAACATAAAAATGAAAGAGTGGTTACAAAAATATTAATGATAATCTCAAAATTGTGGGATAGTATGTGACATTTTCTTTCATACTTTTTTATGTTGTTAGGATGTTTTACTATAAGCATGTATTATATATATATAATTAAACATAAGTAAAACTGTTTATTGAGAAAAGAAGACCTGTGTAGCAATGCTAACTACCTGGCTCTCACCATAAAATATAAACTCAAATGGACTGTCACTGAGATTTTTTTCAAGTATGCGGTGAAGAGAAACAAGATAATCATTTGAAAAACATGCAATTTGTTCACTTCCAATGTCTTGTTTTAGCTCTGGACTCAACCAGACCATTCCAGAGCTGTGTACATGGGTTATCTTGCCTTATTTTTATCTTTCCCAGACCCCACCACTGGCATTTTGACTTTGTATTAAATGAAGCAAACAAAATTCCTGAAAAACTAACATACCAAAGATTTGCAACATAAAGGTACACAAAGGAACCTTCTGTTACACAAAATTAGGAAAAAAGCATTCTTTCTCTTAGAATTTGGTATGCTTTATGAAGTATGTGAATTTTGACACTTGTGACATGTCCTATTTTGCTTTGACTGAAAGGAATCTTTTAGCACAGACATTTGTAATCTAAATCTAATTACAATATATCAGTGTTTTTCAACCTTTTTCCCCCATTATTGCCTCCCTAGGGAGCCTTTTAAGGCATACTTTTTCTAGCCAATTATGGCTCCCCGTGAAATTTTAATACTACAGATATACTATATATCTGTTTATGTATTGTATGTATATCTGTGCTTTATACATAAAGAGTAAGATTTTTTGCACCCCCTCAAGCATTAATGCCTCATCAAAAATACAAGCTATACAGTAATAGATGACTTACAGGCACTTACATAGACATTTCTCTGTGTTAAGTTGCCATTCTATTTAATTTTCTCTGGTTCTCTATATGTATATCCATATACAGAAACACACACAGAGATGTATAATCAAATATATTTCCTGAATGCATTCTTGTAAAGAACTTCAAATTCACATAATCTGATATATCATTACATGTAAAATAAGGACATTAGCAAGATGGCGGAGTAGGAGATGTCAGCCTTCAATACCCAACAAAAAAATCACACAGCTATCCACGAACAAAAATAGCCTTGAGAGGACTCAATAGTTCTTACAAAGGCACAAATAACTTACATTCGTGAAAGAGCACCCTCTTCAATAGATGGTGCTGGAAAAATTGGATATACATATGCAGAATAATGAAACTGTACCGCTATTTCTCACCACATTAAAAAATTAACTCAAGATGAATTAAATACTTAAATGTAAGACCCAAAACTATAAAACTATTAGAACAAAACATAAGAAAAACACTTCAGGACATTAGTCTACCCAAAGATCTTATGGCTAAGACCTCAAAAGCACAGACAAAAAAAAAAAAACCCAAAATAGACAAATGGGAGTATATTAAACTGAAAAGTTTCTGCACAGCAAATGAAACAACCAGCAACCTGTTGAATGGGAGAAAATATCTGCAAGCTGTTCATCAGACAAAAAAACTCATATCTAGAATATACAAGAAACTCAAACAATTTGAGTGCAAAAATCAAATAGTCTGCCAGGTGTAATGTCTCATGCCTATAATCCCAGCACTTTAGGAGGCCGAGGCAGGAGGATTGCTTGAGCCCAGGAGTTCAAGACAAGCCTGGGCAATGTAGCGAGACCCTGTCTCTACAAACAAATAGAAAAAGTAGCCTATGGTGGTGCATGGCCTAGAGTCCCAGCTACTCAGGAGGCTGAGGTGGAAGGGTCACTTGAACCCAGGAGTTTGAGGATAGAGTGAGCTATGATGCTGCCACTGTACTCCAGCCATTTTAAGATACAGAGTGATATCCTGTATCTTTAATAATATTAATAATGACAAAACAATGCCACTAAAAAGTGGGCAAAGGACATGAATAGACATTTCTCCAAAGAAAACATATAAATGGCTAACAGGTATATGAATGAATACTCAACATCACTAATCATCAGAGAAATGCAAATCAAAGCCACAATGAGATATCATCATACCCCAGTTAGAATGGCAAGGAAGTAGAGAAAAGGAA
The DNA here is from genome assembly GCF_000001405.40 of Homo sapiens. Classification (NCBI taxonomy): domain Eukaryota; kingdom Metazoa; phylum Chordata; class Mammalia; order Primates; family Hominidae; genus Homo; species Homo sapiens. The sequence continues at coordinate 52,298,119 of NC_000018.10, forward strand.
ACTCTCATTCACTGTTGGTGGGAATATCGCTTCACTACAGCCACTATGAAAAACAGTATGGAGATTTCTTTAAAAACTAAAAATAGAACTATCATATCCAGCAATCCCACTATTGGGTATTTATATAAAGGAAAATCATTATATCAAAGGGTAACCTGCACTTCCATGTTTACTGCAGCGCTCTTTACAACAGCAATGAAATGGAATCAACCTAATATCCACTAACAAATGAATACATAGAGAAAATCTGGTATACATACACCATGGAGTACGATTCAGCCACAGCAAGGAATGAAATCACGACATTTGCAGCAACATGGATGAAACTGAAATTAATTATGTTAAGTGAAATAAGCCAGACACAGACAAATTTTGCATGTTCCCAGTCATATATGGGAGCTAAAATGTTGATCTTATGAAGGTGAGAGTAGAATGATATCAAAGACTGGACAGAGTGTGTGGGCAGGAGGAGTGGAGGAGTGGATGAAGACAGGTTAGTCAGTGGGCTATAAACATACAATTTCATAGAAGGGATAAATTCTAATGTTCAATATCAGAATAGGGTGACTGTAGTTAGCAACAATGTATTGTATATTTCAAAGGAGCTAGAAGAGAGTTCCCAACACATAGAAATGGTAAATACTGGCCAGTTGCAATGGCTTATGCCTGTAATCCCAGCAGTTTGGGAGGCCAAGGTGGGAGGATCACTTGAGGCCAGGAGTTTGAGACCAACTGGGGTCAACATAGTGAAACCCCATCTCTACCAAAAAAAAAAAAAAAAAAGTTGGTGCATGCCTATGGTCCCAGCTACTCAAGAAGCTGAGGGAGTTTGAGGCTGCAGTGAGCCATTATCATGCCACTGCACTCCAGCCTGTGTGACAGAGTGAGACCCTTTCTTTAAAACAAAAGAACAAAAGAAATGATAAATACTCAAGGTGATGTATAATTTGAAAACCCTGACTTGATCATTACACATTCTATGCATGTAACAAAATATCACATGTACTCCATAAATACGTAAAATATCATGTATCAATTAAAATTTTAAAAAGAATTTACAGTAACACAGTGGAGCAAAAAAAGAAGAGCACTTCACAGAGAGAATCACTGGGGAGACTGGTATACCTGCAGTGTGTGGAATGGCTAGGAACAAAAAAGAATGATAGAACTATATAAGCTATGGGGTGGGTGCCACTGGGTGGTCCTCTGTTGCTCACCCTGCAGAGAACCCTGGGAGACTTTGACACTGAAGACTTCAATGGTTCCAGTGACAACCACCCCAGCATTCACAGAAGAGGACTCCATAGTGTTTGTTGACAATGACCACAGTGGCCCCCTCTTTAGAGGTCACTGGCAGCATTTATCACTGAGGTAATCAACAGCCATCACTGCCATGGGCCCCATGGAAATGGAGTTGATGCTGCACACCGCAGCAGGACCTGCTGTTGTACCACATCAGAACACAGGCTACCACCTCCCCCATGCCACAACTCCACATACACTCTGAACCCAGAGCCATAGCTGCTCTGAATGACCTTCATTCCAGAAACCAGCTCTGTAGCTGCTCTATGTGTGTACCTGTGCTTCATAACTTGCCTCCGAAAAACTCTGTGTATGTTAGTTTCTTCTCATGCTGCTATGAAGAAACACTGAGACTAGGTAATTTATAAAGGTAAGAGATTTAATTGACTCACAGTTCTGCAGGGCTGGGGAGGCCTCAGGAAACTTATAATCGTGGCAGAATGGGAAGCAAAGACATCCTTCATCACATGGCAGCAGCAAGGAGAAGAATAATTGCCCAGCAAAGGGGAAAGCCCGTTATAAAATTGTCAGATCTCATGAGAACTAACTCACTATCACAAGAAAAGGATAGAGGAAACCGCCATCCACCTGGTCCCTCCCACTACATGTGGGCATTATAGGAACTACAATTCAAGATGAAATTTGGGGGGAACACAGCCAAACCATATCACTGTGCATACCTGCATCTCAGGCACTGAAGCAGTCACCACTATGAACTAGCTGGTGCCCCCAGATAACAGAGCAGCTGTCGTTCTGAGTGCCTGTGCTTCAGACTCTAGTTTCTTGACTGTTCCATGAGTGCCTGTACATGAGACACCAGTGCCACAACCACCAGAAGGCTTTCTGCAAACACTCATCCCCAAGAGGGATACCAAGGACCATAACCTCCCCTGTGCAAGAAATAACTAATAGGAGAATCTTAACAGTCTTAAGATTGGGGTCATAACTTAAGACCCCAACAGCTCTCACTGCTGCTGTGGTCATCTGCAGCCTTGGTCATGGACGCTTCAATCTTCACCAAATTTGATCTTAGCTGACAGAACTGCATGAAGGCTATGCCATTGGGCCTTCCCAGGAGCTGGAACTACCACACCTCACCCAGCCAGTGCTTTCCCACTGACCCACAGATGTCCCCATCAAAACTAGTCTATGATTTCTGGAACAGGTGACTCCTCCATCAAACATGCAGACATTAATCCAAGACTAAAAGAGACACACACACACAAATCAAGAAAACATGACAACACCAGAAGAACACAATAGCTATCTAAAAACAGACCACAAAGAAATGGAGATGTACAAATTTCCAGAGAAAGAATTCAAAGTAATATTTCAAGGAAGCTCAGTAAACTACAAGAGAACATAAACAACTCAATAAAATCAGAAAAATTCAATAAATGAGAATTTTGTAAAAAAATAGGAATTATATAAAAGGAACAGTCTAGAGCTAATAATACAATTATGAAATGAGAAATGCAATAGAAAGCAGCAACAGCAGACTTGATCAAGCAGAAGAAATGATTTGTGAAATCAAAGGCAAATCATTTGAAATTATCCATTTAGAGGAAACTAAATGAAGAGGAATAAAATAAGTAAAGAAAACCTACATGTATTTTGGGATATAATCTGTGAAGTAATATTTACATAATGGGATTTTTGTTTGCTTGTTTGTTTCAAGTTATAAGGTTTATTGAACAGAAGTCAGCTGGCTCAGTGTCAGTGTGTAACCTTATCAGAAAAGATGATCAAATATTTTTCATGATTTCCAACTCCATTCACATTGGGGCTTCTCCATGCTAGTTAACATAAAAACTGAAATATATAATTGTATTATTATGAAGTCTTATTTTTGCTTAAATTATTTAATAGTGAAACAAATTACTGATTATCATGTTCCATTTTTAATCAAAAAGCTTATTTTGAAGTAAGCATTTTAATAATATATTAGGCATGTGATTACATACATTTTGTCATATATCTTATTTTAATTTTTAATATTTAAATTTGTAACATAGTCTTATTTCATTGGATTATTTAATGTCACGTTTTCTGTATCTTTGAGAGATGACACTGGTTTTCTGTTTTTGGCCTTCCTCTCCTTCCCTAGTGCCTTGACTCAGGACTTCAGGAGCTAGGAAGGCTGTAGAAACACAGTATGGTTGTGGACTGTGCATAGTGTATGGACAGGATGGGAGGAGAGCAGTGAGAGGAGGCAGCTGAGAATGACTTCCATGTTCTTGCCCTGGGAGACTGGACAATGGGACTGCCATTTGCCACGTCTGGAAATGTATACCAAGACCCCAGAGGTTGGGAGAGTGGGCATAAAGTTGATGTATTTTGTGTAACAAGCAGCTTGAGTTTGATTGTCCATAGAGCATTCAGCAAAAATATTCAATTGACAGTAGGAAATAGGGATTTGGAGATCCAGGAGAGAGGTCTGGGTTGGTAGGGGGTATGTGAAAATCATTCATTTGCAAGGGCTAAAATAAAGCAGTGGATGTTGAGGAACTCAGCTGATGAGATTCTGAATGCCAAGAAGGGTAATTGGATGGAATCCAGAGAACACCCAGTACTGAATAGGCAGAGATGCCATGGATAAGGAGGAAAGCCTATAGTATTTTATCCCTTGCTCCTCTCCCACCCTTCCCCCCAAGTCCCCAAAGCCCATTGTATCATTCTTATGCCTTTGCATCCTCATAACTTAGTTCCCACATATCAGTGAGAACATCCAATGTTTGGTTTTCCGTTCCTGAGTTATCTCACTTAGAATAATAGTCTCCAATCTCATCCAGGTCACTGTGAATGCCATGAATTCATTTCCTTTTATGGCTGAGTAGTATTTCATTGTGTGTGTATATATACAAATGTATATACATTTACATATGTGTATATATACATATACACATATATGTATATATGTGTATATATAAATATAAATATATATATATACACACACATATATACATATATATCCATTGTATTTATATATATATACACACACATATATATACATATATATATCCATTGTGTATATATATACACAATGGAACCAACCCAAATGTTCATCAGTCAAGTGAATAAAGAAACTGTGATATATATATATACACACACACAATTGATATATATATATATATATATTCATTACATATATATATATATATCACAGTTGGATATATATATATATATCCATAGTGTGTATATATGTGTATATATATATATCTATTGTGTGTGTGTGTGTCTGTGTGTATATATATATATATATATATATATATATATATATATGTCTCACAGTTTCTTTATCCACTTGTTGATTGACGTACATTTGGGTTGGTTCCACCGTTTTGCAATTGTGAATTGTACTTGTTGAAGCATACATGTGCAAGTATCTTTTTTGTATAATGACTTCTTTTCCTCTGGGTAGATATATACCCAGGTGTATAATGTATACCAGGTGTATAATGACTTCTTTTCCTTTGGGTAGATGCAGTAGTGGAATTGCTGGATCAAACAGTAGTTCTACGTTTAGCTGTTTATAGAATATCCACACTGTTTTCCATAGTGGTTGTACTAGTTTACATTTTTAAAAGGAGAACAGAAAGAGAAAGAAAACAAAAAGCTTATTTAATAGAACAATGGCTAAATCTTCCCAGATCTGGAGAGAGATATGGACATCCGAAACATAAAACGTAGTCACATACAGAGGTTCTGTCCAGTTAAAAGAGGAAATTCACCAAGGGACATTAAAATAAAACTGTCAAAAATAAAAACAAAGAATTGTGAAGCAGCAAGAGAAAAGAAGCTCTTCTCATACAAGGGAATACTGATTTCAGCAGATTTCTCAGCAGAAACCTTGCAGGCCAGGATAGAGTGAGATAACATATACAAGGTGCTGAGAAAAGAAACTGTCAACCAAGAATATTTTGCTCAAAATATCTGCCCTTCAGAAATGAAGGAGAGATAAAAACTTTCAGGCAAATAAAAGCTGAGAGACCTCATCACCACTGGAATTGCCTTGAAGAAATCCTGAAGGAATTTCTTCAAGCTGAAACAAAATGATACAAATTAGTAACATGTAAATATGTGAAAGTATAAAACTCACTGGTAAGGAAAATGTATATTCAAATTCAGCATACCCTAATAATGTCTTGGTGATATATAAATCACATAACTCTAGCATAAAGGCTAAAAACAAATTTATTGGAAAAATTATAACTAAAATAATTACATAATGAATACACAATATAAAAATTGTAAATAGCAACATCAAAAACATAAATGGGGGTAAGGTTAAAGGACAGAGTTTTTATACATAATCAAAGTTATTTTATTAGCATAAAATAGACTGTTAAATTATTTTTGTAAGTCCCATGGTAACCACACAAAGCAAAAACCTGTAGTTACACATAGAAGATAAAGACAAAGTAATCAAAGCATATCAATATGGAAAAATATTCAAATCACAAAGGAAGATGTAGCAAGAGATGAAGAAAAAAAACAAATAAATACAAAGCAGCCAGAAAGCAATGAAGATAATGGGACTAGTAAGTTCTTACCTATCAGTAATTACTTTTAAGGTAAATTGATTAAATTCTCCAATCAAAGACAGAGTGTCAGAATGGATAAAAGAACAAGACTTAACTATTTTCTGCCTACAAGAGACTTTCTTCAGCTTTAAAGACATGGATAGGCTGAAAGTGAAGGATGGAAGAAAGATATTCCTTGTCATTGGAAAGCAAAAGAGAACAGGGGCAGCTATACTTATATCAACTATAATAGGCTTTAAAAAAAAATATAAAAAGAGACAAAGAAAATTATAATATAAAGATAAAGGGGTCAATTCAAGAGAATATAACAATTTTAAATATATATGCACCTAAACTTGGAACATTTAAATATAATATGCAAATATTAACAAATCTGAATGTAGAAATAGACACCAACACAATAACACTAGGATACTGTAATATCTTACTTTCAGCAATAGATAGATCATCCAGATATGAAATCAATAAGGAACCCTGGACTTCAGTTACACTTTAGACCAAATCAACTTAATAAACATACACAGAACATTTAATCCAACAGCAGTAGAATGCACATTTTTCCGAAGTGCATGCAGAAAATTCTCCAGGACTGATCATATGTTAGGTCACAAAACAAGTATTTAGAATTTTTAAATATTAGAACATATCAAATATGTCTCCCAACCACAATGATATGAAACTAGAAATCAATAATAGGAGGAAAGCTAGAAAATTTACAAATAAGTGGAAATCAATCATCACACTCTTGAATAATTAATGGGTCAAAGAAGGAATCAAAAGACAAAAAAATGTTGAGACACATGAAAATGGAAACACAACATATCAAAATATTTGGGATGTAGCCTTTATACCTCAAGGAACTAGAAAAAGAAGAAAAAGCTAAGCCCAAAGCCAGCAGAAAAAAGAAAATAACAAAGATCCAGAACAGAAGCAAAGGAAATACAGACATGAAAAGCAGTAGAAAAGATTAGCAAAACTAAGAGCTGGTTTTTTGAAAAGACAAAATCTACAAAGCTTTAACTAGACTAAGAAAAAAGAGAGAAAACTCAGATAAATCAGAAAGAGGAGACATTACAATTGATATTGCAGAAATAAAAATAATTATAAAAACTACTATGTGCAATTACAGCTAACAAATTAGATAATGTAGAAGAAATGAATAAATTCCTTAAAACACACACCCTGCCAAAACTGAATCAGAAAGAAATAGAAAATCTGAATAGACCTATAAGAATTCAGGAGATTGAATTAGTAATCAAATATCTTCCAACATAGAAAAGTCCAGGACCAGATTACTTCATGAGTGGTTTCTCCGAAATATTTAAAAAGAAATGCCAATCCTTCTCAAACTTTCCCAAAAAAATTGAAGAAGAGGAAACACTTCCAAACTTGTTTTACAAGGCCAATATTATCCTGACACCAAAAGCAAATAAGGGCACTATGAGAAAAGAAAATTACAGGTCAATAATTCTAATGAATAGATGCAAATATCCTCAACAAAATAGTAGCAAAATAAACTCAACAACATATTAAGAGGATAATTCACCATAACCAATGTGATATTTCCCTGAGATGTAAGCATTTACCAGAACAATTAGGCAAAAAAAGAGAAAGAAATAAAAGGCATCCAGATCAGAAAAAAAAGTAAAATTATCTCTGTTTGCAGATGACATGATTCTATATACAGAAAATACTAAAGCATCCACACACAAAAAATTATCACAAATAAATATAGTAAACTTGTAGGATACGAAATTAACATACTAAATGAGTTGCATCTCTATACATTAATAACCCAATATCTAAAAGAGAAATTAAGAAAGCAAGACCATCTACGGTAGCATCAGAAACAATAAAACACTTAGGATAAATTTAACCAAGGAGGTGAAAGATCTGTGTACTGAAAGTTGTAAAGCATTGATGAAAGAAGCTGAAGAAGACAAAAATAAATGAAAACATATCATTGTTTTGGGATTGAGAGAATAAATATTATAAAAATATCCATATTATCTGTGATGGTTAATACTGAGTGTCAACTTGATTGGACTGAGGGATACAAAGTATTAATCCTGGTGTGTCTGTGAGGGTGTTGCCAAAGGAGATTAACATCTGAATCAGTGGGCTGGGGAAGGCAGACCCACCCTTAATCTGGGGGACACCATCTAATCAACTTCCAGTCATTATAAAGCAGGAGACAAATATGAAAAGGAGAGACTGGCCTAGTCTCCTAGCCTACATCTTTCTCCATGCTGGATGCTTCCCGCCCTCGAACATCGGACTCCAGGTTCTTCAGTTTTGAGACTCGGACTGGCTCTCCTTGCTCCTCAAATTTGCAGACAGCCTATTGTGGGACCTTGTAACCATGTAAGTTGATAGTTAAGAAACTCACATACATGTATATTACCTATTAGTTCTGTCCCTCTAGAGAACCCTAAGTAATACACTGCCCAACGTGATCTACATATTCAATGCAGTCCCTATGAAAATTTCAATGGCATTTTTCACAGAAATGAAAAGGAAATTTGGTCCGGCATGGTGGTTCATACCTGTAATCACAGCATTTTGGGAGGCTGAAGTGGGAGTATGACTTGAGGTAGGGAGTTTGAGAAGAGCCTGGCCAACATGGTGAAACCCCATCTCTACTAAAAATACGAAAAATTAGCTGGGCAAGGTGGCACGCACCTGTACTCCCAGCTACTTGAGAGGCTGAGATGGGAGAATCACTTGAACCTGAGAGGTGGAGCTGAGATCATGCCACCACACTCCAGCCTGAGCTACAGAGTGAGACTCCATCTCAAAAAGAAAAAAAAAAAGAAAATCGTAAAATTCATATGGAACCATAAGACTCTATAAATACAAGCAATCTTGAGAAGAATAAAGCTGAAGGCATCATGCTTCATGCAACTGTATCACAAAGCTATAGTTATTAAAATAGGATCATGGCATAAAAATAGACATTAGAGCAATAGAACAGCATAGAGAGCCCAGAAATAAAACCAAGGGTGCCAAGAATGCACAGTGACAAAAGGATAGTCTCTCTAATAAATGATGTTGGGAAAACTATACATCCACATGACAAAAAAGAAAAAGAAAAGCAAAGACTTGGAACCAACCCAAATGTCCAACAATGATAGGATGGATTAAGAAAATGTGGCACATATACACCATGGAATACTATGCAGCCATAAAAAAGGATGAGTTCATGTCCTTTGTAGGGACATGGATGAAGCTGGAAACCATCATTCTCAGCAAACTATCGCAAGGACAAAAAAACAAACACCGCATGTTCTCACTCATAGGTGGGAATTGAGCATGAGAACACTTGAACACAGGAAGAGGAACATCACACACCGGGGCCTATCATGGAGTGGGGGGAGGAGGGAGGGATAGCATTAGGAGATATACCTAATGTAAGTGATGAGTTAATGGGTGCAGCACACCAACATGGCACATGTATACATATGTAACAAACCTGCACGTTGTGCATATGTACCCTAAAACTTAAAGTATAGTAAAAAAAATTAAAAAAAAAGAAAAGGAACTACACTCCTATATTATACCACATACAGAAATGAACCAGAAACGGATTATAGACTTAAATGTAATACCTAGTACTATAAAATTTATAGAAGAAAATTTAGGGAAAGCTCTTTAAGGTTGGTCTTGGCAGTGAATTTTTGGGTATGACACCAGAAGCACAGGCAATAAAAGCAGAAGTAAACACTTGGGACTACCTCAACTGAAAAAGCTTCTGCCCAGAAAATGAAACTAGAGGACATTATGCTAAATGAAATAACCTGGATGTTATTGTATTGTGTCACTTATATGTGGAATCTTAAAAAAAATATAGTCCCACTCATAGAACCAGAGAGTAGAAAGATGATTGCCAGGGCCTGGGAGATGAAAGAAGTGGGACGATATTGGTAAAAGATGTCAAATTTTCAGTTATAAGATGAATATGTTCTGATGATCTAACATACAGTCTGGTGACTACCGTTCATAACACTGTGTTAATTAGCTTGATATGTTTATGTACATATATCGAATAGTCATATATATACTTTAAATGTATAAAATAACATTTGTCAGTTTTACAATAGTACTGATTATAGTCCTTCATTTTACTTTTTCAGCCAAAAGCTGAAGAAAAATTGAAACGAAGGACTATAATCAGTACTATTCTTTACTGCAGACAAATTTTACTTGGGAAGTAGAGAGATTCTTTAGGGATTAAGTTTTGATCATGCTGATTAAAGTAAAACTCTCCTAGGATGTGTTGACGTGACCTAGAGAAAAAAAAAAAAACATGAAGAGAGCTCATATTGAGTATGCTTGTGCATTAGGAAATATCTGTCAACAATAAATGCAGGGCGGAAGAAAACATTATAAACCAGAATATTATAAGCAAATTTTTGTGTCACAAGTGATTCTTTTTTTAACACATCTATTTATTCTAGTAAATGTTGCTATTTTACCAGGATCCTCACTTTTTAAATTCCATTCTATTCCCCATCTCTAACAATTTTCACCACTCTTTTTCCAGACCTTTTTGATCTCATCCATCTTGAGGGATGCGGCCTAAAGCACATACAGTCCTCCAAAGAAAAAGTAATGCCGTGTTACAAAACAGGTTTCCTATTTTGATGCACCTGGACATACCGAGGACTAAACTGTCCTTAGAAGGGATGTGCACATTCACATCAAGACACAAGACAACACCATCAGACTTCTGGAAATTATTTAAAACTTAAGTTTTGGTTATGGATTACTGTTGGAGCCACATCTCTGAAGGACAATAATAAATGGATTCCAGACACATGGACAGACCCAGAAGACTCCAAAGCAGGGGCAATATTGCCTGTTTCTAGCAAACCCATAAAAATGAAACAATTGGGCACCAATTGTTTTAGAAAAGCCCACTCTCTTCAAATGTGAGATGAAAAATGAGAAGAAAAAGGTGTTAAGAAGGACCTAATTAAGAATTTTTATGTTACGTATTTGAACAACTTGACTCTGATGCAACATCATGATGTAGGGAATGGTTCAGAAGTCATACTCGTGAAGTAGAAAGAAAAGAAAAACAAACAGAAAGTTGCACCAGAATTAGTGTGGCACTGGTTTATTTCCTACCTGATTGTAAAGGAAAAATTGAGATATGCTAATTTATCATGCAGCCGCATAACTTCATAATGCAAAATTTATGAGAAGAGATGAGAGGAAATTGGAGAGGAACATTATGGGAGCAATAAATACTTATATATACTTATATATAATACTTATATATAATTGCAAATATTATAATGCTGTTGCATATTAGTTGAGACCATTTAGGTGATTATTTAGGCTAAAAGTATATATATATATATATATATATATATATATTTAATTAAAATACTATTTAACTGAGCCTCTTGTAGGGGTTAAGTACCCTTCTAGGTATTGGGGATACATCAATTTCCCATATAAAGATTCCTGTAGAAATCTATATATATATATATATATAGAGAGAGAGAGAGAGAGAGAGAGATCTATATATATATATTCTATATATGTAGAGATCTATATATATATTTCTATATATATAGATCTCTATATATTTCTATATATATAGAGATCTATATATATATATTTATCTCTCTCTCTATATATATAGAAAATTTGGGAAACATCAATTTCCCATATAAAGATTCCTGTAGAAATCTATATATATATATATTTCTCTCTATATATATTTCTATATATATTTCTCTATATATATTTCTCTCTATATATTTCTATATATATTTCTATATATATTTCTATATATATATTTCTATATATATTTCTATATATATATTTCTATATATATTTCTATATATATATTTCTATATATATTTCTATATATATATTTCTATATATATTTCTATATATATATTTCTATATATATTTCTATATATATATTTCTCTATATATATTTCTACATATATATTTCTATATATATTTCTATATATATATATATAGATATAGATCTATATGTATATAGATTTCTACAGGAATCTTTATATGGGAAATTGATGTTTCCCAAATTGCTGCTTTAGAGTTTATATTTTAGTAATGGAAAAGGCAGACAGTAAATAATATGCAAAATAAAGTAGTGAAATTCAGAGTATGCTAGAAGATTTTAAGTGCTATGGAAAACAATGGAAAGATTGAATGGGGGCAAGAGGCATCAGTCCCTCTGGCACAGCAGAGTCGGGGGTCCATTTGCTATTTTCAGTAGAGTAATCAGTGTAGTCAGTAGTAATAGTAGTGGTAGTCATCAGTAGGTCTCACTGATAAGGGGAAATTTGAACAAAAACTTTAAAGGAGATGAGGAAGAAAATTATGGAGATACTTGGGGAAATTGGATGGCAAGTAGAAGTTTTTACCAGTATGTGATCTCCTGAAATGAAGATATGCTGGGGTGTTCAAGGAGCAACTCGGGAGCCGGACTGGCAGCTGCAGGGGGAAGCAGGAGGAGGGATGTGGAGAGATTACGTCTGGGGCTGGATCATGGTAGGTCCCATAAGCCAGCAAAAGGACCTTGGGCTTTTCACATGACTGACAAGAGAGGCTATTTGGGGGCTTCAAGGAGGGAGTTTTACAATTTGATCTGGCTTCTCTGTGTTGAGACTATCAGGAGGTGGCAGAGTGGCTTAAAATATTAAGGAAATTAAATAATATCATCAGATGTGTTTCCTTGGGCTGCTGCAACAAATTACCACTAACTGGGTGTCTTCAAACAACATCAGTTTATTCTTTCACAGTTCAGGAGGTCAGAAGTCCGAAATCGAGGTGCTACAGTGCTGATTCCTGCTGGAGGCTCTGAGGGGAACTAGTTCTATGCCTCCCTCCCACATTCTTGTGGCTGCAGGCAGCTCTTGGTATTCCTCAGCTTGCAGAAACATCACTCCACCTTCAGCTTCTGTTGTCACATGACCTTCCTTGTGTCTTCTCATGGTCTTCCCCACTGTGTATGTCAAATATCTCTCTCCTTTCTCTTAATGAGGATGCCAGTTATTAAAATGTAGGGCCCACCTTAAATCCAGGCAAAAGTCATTTCAAGACTTTTGCCTTAATTACATCTGCAGACTCTATTTCCAAATAAGGTCACATTCACAGGTACCCAGGGTCAGGATTTAGACCCATCTTTTTGAAGAATGCAACACTACATTCATATTTTGTCCAGAAAGCTGACTTCAGGGTTGGTTAGTTTTGAGGCATAGTTATGTCATCTGGGACTCAGAATCTTTCTGCCTTTTTTTTTTTTTTTCTTGTCGCCATCCTTAGTGTTCTGTTTCATCTTCAGTCTATCTTTGTAGCCTCGAGATGGCTGCAACTGTTACTGATGTCAGGTGCAGCTACGCCAACATCCTTAAGAAAAAAAACAACTGTCCCTCCCTTGTGTTCTTCTTGATCCCATGAGGGCTGGAATTTGTTTGTCTCTTTTATTCACTGCAGTCTGCCCAGCACCCGGAGCAGTGGATGGTACATTGCAGTGCTCAGCAAATATTAGTTGAATGAATTATTTTGCCAGGATTCTATAGCATGCCCATGCTTGCACCAAAGCAAAGTTTATGGGAATAGGTGTGAGGGCTTTGAACAATCAACACTCCTAAGGCCTTAGCACCAAAGAGGCAAAAGCTTTGTTGCAGAGACAAAAAAAAAAAAAAAAAAAAAAAAAATCAGTCCAATTAGAAAGGAAAAAATAGCAGTGGAAATGGTTATTGGATAACTTATTTCAATGTTTTACAAAAGAATGTGTCAACTAAGTTTTGGTATACACAGAATTGATTATTTTCAGGTTTCTGATATGACTCAATGACACTTAAAGAGAAGTAAGTCATATATACATGTGATTCCTTACAGAATTTCAAGCATTCGTCACTGCCTACATTTCAGCGTGGACTCTCATCCTTCTTAATATCTTGTTTCTCATGAAATTCCTGCATAAATCCTCATGTCATGCCATCAGCTTACATTGTACCTTTAGACAAAAACTATTTCCATAAAGGAATAATGTATTGATTTAATAAACTAGTTATAAACCATTAAATGATTTGGAAAAGACAGATCAATTCTGTCAAAACCATGGGATCATCTTTTATGAGCAAAGATTGAAACCACAGTGATTTTTTTCTGAAGTAATTCAGAAAAGTAATTAATCCCCTCAGTTTTTTTTTCTAAGTGTTCTCCTATCAAGTATTACATAATATATTAATATCATGACATCATAACATCTGTTTCCCAAATTAATGCCTCTGGGGTCCACACTATTTTCTTCAATATTCATGTCAAGATCAATCAACTACAAAATAATTGCTATGAAATAGCTCTCAATATGTGTGTACCTTCCCATATGTGAATATAATTACAGTGTTTATTTTATATAATGCCTTATGTGCCTAGATGGATTTATTCAGACACTTGAAGACTTAACAACAAAAACTAACCACAGTCTCTATTGTAGCAAAGGGCTGCAGAAGGAAATGAGGTGTAAAATAATCTCTCTATGTGGTTAGTGAGTCACCCTTTCAGGATTATTGATTGTCCTGCTAAGTGGGCAATTAAAATGAAAACCAAAGAGCTAAATATCCTCATACAAACATACAGACACTTATTTGAAAATTTACAAAGCAAACTCATTAAAATACCTTCTATTCTTGAGCCTTGCCTTGAAGGTGAAATGGGATCCTGAAATTTGCTATATTCAGCTCATCAGAATTTATGGATGAATACTCACTACCCTGGGAGAGGAAAGCAACAGAGACAAGAAGAAACAAATGAACGTATTCAAATCCAAATCGTGGAGCCTGATGGCTTGCATCCCAGAGTTTTTAAGGGATTGACTTGTTATTTTGTTGCAACTATTACAGCTGAAGAATCGATATTGGAATTGTGCAGTCCCTAAAGGCTGAAAAAATGGGAGTTTCTTAATTAAACAATAGCCGTGGAGGTGGGACTCATTAATATAGAACAGGAAATGGTAGAAAATACCTGGAAAAGTAGTTGAGAAGGATGAACAGAAACATCTAAATTTCTAAAAAGATTGTAAGTACCTGGGATTAGGCCACACTGTTTTCTAAAGAACAGATGCTTCATATGAATCTGTGACAAGCTGGGGAAAACAGTAGATTTAAAAAGAAATTGTCATCCTGTTCTATATGACAAGCCATCAGGCCCAGCCACTGTTTGGTGGGTGTATAGCTCAGTGTCTGGACACATCCAGAGAGCAATCTTTCTGAAGGTGACCACACCTGTGAAAGAAGCTTCCTAGACTGAAAAATGTCATTAATTATATTGCTTTTGTCCTACCTGAATCACCACATCTTTTAGTATGGCTTTTTTGTTTTGTTTTGTTTTTCTTAGAAGCACTAGTTCGATTAACTGGATGACAATGAGTCACCTGGTTGGAACAAGTATTTACTGAATGAACACCAGTCCTGTGGAATGCTCTGTGATAAATGTTAGGGGAGGGATGAAGAAACAGACCAACCTTCCTCAAGTGAGAGTTACTGAACTCTCACTGAGCAAAAGCCTCTAAGCCAGATGCTGTGAGGAAGGGATGGCTTGGAATTGTTAAAACGACATGGACTTTGGCCCCAATGTACAGTTTAGAAGTTAAGATAGCAAAGTTCTTTTCTTTAATAAATGATTTTGAACATACACTCTGTGTCCCAAGGACTTCATGACCTGGCCATATGGTTTCTAACTATGAACAAAGACATGGCTAGAATGTGCCAAGGAAAAATCTTAAAGAATAAGGTAGCAATTCAGTGGGTTATAAAAGAAGGGTGGAATTTCAACAGATTTAGATAGGTGATTAGAGAATTCCAGGCAGCAGGAAAAGTATGAGCAGTGACTTAAAGGTGCTACTACACAGGAAAAATTAAGGGAACCAAGCCACAGGCTTTGGCCAAAGACTAAGGAATGTGAAGGGGAATAAAAATGAGGAAACTAAGAGATAAGCATATAAGTAATTTGAACTTAATTCTGGTAGCAAGAAGATATTAAAAAAAATCAGAAAGGAGAGGCACAATCTTAGATAGACATTGGAAATGCTAATCTAGTTTCTATGTGTAAAGTCCACTAAAACAGAAGGCATTTTGGAAGCAAGATCAGTTTTAGGCCATGGATTCATGTTGGAGCTAAGGTAAGGCCTTTGGTGGTGCCTGTAGAAACAACAGCAAAGAGATGAATGGCAGAGACTGTGAAAGTAATAACCAACAAAGAAGGGCTCACTGCTAAATTATTTGATACTCACTTTAAGTGCAATAAGGTCTTGGAAAATTAATAAAAATAAGACACTAGGACTGCTGTTTTTTTTAGCCTTTATTTTATTTTATTTTTTTTATTATACTTTAAGTTCTAGGGTACATGTGCACAATGTGCAGGTTTGTTACATAGGTATACATGTGCCACGTTGGTTTGCTGCACCCATCAAGTCATCATTTACATTAGGTATTTCTCCTACTGCTATCCCTTCCCCAGCCCCCCACACCCCGACAGGCCCTGGTGTATGATATTCCCCACCCTGTGTCCATGTGTTCTTGTTATTCAACTCCCACCTGTGAGTGACAACATGCAGTGTTTGGCTTTCTGTCCTTGTGATAGTTTGCTTAGAATGACGGTTTCCAGCTTCATCCATGTCCCTGCAAAGGACATGAACTCATCCTTTTTTATGGCTGCATAATATTCCATGGTGAATATGTGCCACATTTTCCTTTTTTTTTTTGGAAATAGAGTCTCACTCTGTTGCCCAGGCTGGAGTGCAGTGGCGTGATCTCGGCTCACTGCAAGCTCCACCTCCTGGGTTCATGCCATTCTCTTGCCTCAGCCTCCTGAGCAGCTGGGACTACAGGCACCTGCCACCATGCTCAGCTAATTTTTTGTATTTTTTGTACAGACGAGATTTCACCGTTTTAGCCAGGATGGTCTTGATCTTCTGACCTTGTGATCCACCTGCCTCGGCCTCCCAAAGTGCTGGGATTACAGGCGTGAGCCACCGTGCCCGGCCTGTTCCACATTTTCTTAATCCAGTCTATCAATGATGGACATTTGGGTTGGTTCCAAGTCTTTGCTATTGTGAATAGCGCCACAATAAACATACGTGTGCATGTGTCTTTATAGGAGCATGATTTATAATCCTTTGGGTATATACCCAGTAATGGGATCACTGGGTCAAATGGTATTTCTAGTTCTACATCCTTGAGAAATTGCCACACTGTCTTCCACAATGGTTGAACTAATTTACACTCCCACCAACAGTGTAAAAGTGTTCCTATTTCTCCATATCCTCTCCAGCATCTGTCATTTCCTGACGTTTTAATGATTGCCATTCTAACTGGCATGAGATGGTATCTCACTGTGGTTTTTATTTGCATTTCTCTGATGACCAGTGATGATGATCATTTTTTTCATATGTCTGTTGGCTGCATATATGTCTTCTTTTGAGAAGTGTCTGTTCATATCCTTTGCCCACTTTTTGATGGGGTTGTTTGTTTTTTTCTTGTACATTTGTTTAAGTTCTTTGTGGATTCTGGATATTAGCCCTTTGTCGGATGGGTAGATTGCAAAGATTTTCTCCCATTCTGTAGGTTGCGTGTTCACTGTGATGATAGTTTCTTTGGCTTTGCAGAAGCTCTTTAGTTTAATTAGATCCTATTTGTCTATTTTGGCTTTTGTTGCCATTGCTTTTGGTATTTTAGTCATGAAGTCTTTGCCCATGCCTATGTCCTGAATGGTATTGCCTAGGTTTTCTTCTAGGGTCTTTTTGGTGTTAAGTCTTACATTTAAGTCTTTAATCCATCTTTAGTTACTTTTTGTATACGGTGTAAGGAAGGGATCCAGTTTCTGCTTTCTACATATGGCTAGCCAGTTTTCCCAACACCATTTATTAAATAGGGAATCCTTTCTCTATTGCTTGTTTTTGTCAGGTTTGTCAAAGATCAGATGGTTGTAGATGTGTGGTGTTATTTCTGAGGCCTCTGTTCTGTTCCATTGGTCTGTATCTCTGTTTTGGTACCAGTACCATGCTGTTTTGGTTACTGTAGCCTTGTAGTATAGTTTGAAGTCAGGTAGCATGATGCCTCCAGCTTTGACTGCTGTTATTTTTTAAAGCCCTTTTCACACTGACCTACAGTTTTATATATTAAAGATTGAATTTGAGAGTAGAACATTAATATAATGGTAGTAAGCATTCTCCATTGACACAGCTCTGGTATATTCAGTTCAATTCCTGACATGTTACAGAGGAGTTGGTTTCTCCTCTTTAACAGTTTTCTAGATGGCTGAGATTCACATTGGTCTTACCAGTGTACCATGAGGTGCTTGAGGCTAGTGTCCACAGAGTTGCTTAGCAAGAGAAGAGTCAAGTACTGTCAGGTTCCTGGCATTTCGCCTCCTTGCCAGTAGCTAATGAGTACATTAGGCCCTAGCAATGCAAGATCCTTTCATATAAAGAGCAATTGGTTGGCACAGATCATAGTTGCAGCCCAAAAGCAGTTTCTAATAATATGAATTAAGTCAGCTGCTGTGGTCTGTATCCATCAGGTAACCTCCATGCCCGGGCCCGCTCCATGACCACCTCCTTGATTGGAATCCCTGGAATTCACAGTTCTCTACATCTTTCTTCCATGCTCCCCAGCCTCACCACTTTTCCTATTCCCACACCATATATTCCTGGTGTGAAAAGCCTAGGTCTCTCTGTCTCTCATATTGCCTCTCCTAGCACAAGGGAAAGTCTCTCAGCTGGCCAATGGAGGCCAACTCATCCAGCAGTGAGAAAAATATTAATAACCTTCCTCAAGGATGGAGAAGACTCAGTTTATAAAACCAAATAGCTTTTATTCTGTCCTGGTTGTGAGGATAATTCACCCTCTGTACCAGAATGTAAGAATGAGTCTAATGCAAAAATAAAAAAGCAAAACAAGTTGAGTTTTGTACTAAAATAGGTTTAACTTCTTATCCTGTTACATTAGTGAGACTTTTTTCATTGAGATGTACAGATTGTAGAATGTTTTCATGCATGTTATCTCTCCTTTGATGCTTATAACAATCCTGAGTGCCATCATTCTCTTTGACCAGTTAAGAATCTGAGGCAGCAGGCATGGCATGCTGCATATCACATGATTGGAAATACCAAAGTTAGCAGGAGAACTTAAGGCTGATTTTTCAACTCTACTTGTTTAATATATTGCCTATTGACAGAAGCGCTGAAAAACATTTACAATGCCTTAGCTTACCTTTAATTTTGTCATTCTGTTTTTCTCACTGACCAACAAAAGGAATTGGTAAAATGTGAGGAATTAATCACTTGAAGGAATTGGTTCAATGCATGATTTCCCTCTGCTTTTGATTGGATGTTTCCTTAATATCCATGTATTGTATATTTATGGTGTTGCAGGTACTGTTTTTGATTCTATGGATACAAGGATCAAAAAGTCATAATTCCTTCCTTTCTGGTACTCAATACCCAGAGAAGAAAACTGGTAACATTAATAATAAACTATCCCACAACATACGTATTTAGTATCAACCATTTGGAATAATGCTGGGTATTAAGCTCTTTTTCTTTCTATACTCCTTCCTTACAAATATTTGGTTCACTTAAGTATTTTCTGTTTCTGTAGCCTATACCTCTCAACATGGTGGTGGTTATTATTTGACTAATTTCACTATTTTCATAAAATGTCTGTGGCCCAAGTCTTCCTACTTGTACACAACTATATCTAAAGGAGAGGGGAGAATTTCCTTCCCATACCTCTAGCAGATTGCTCTTGATGTATTGGGTCTTTGCCTGTGATCTGGCTACAAGGGAAATAGGGGAAGCAAAGAAATTCCTCTGCCAATAGAGAAAGCAAAGAAATTCCTGTATGAGCCCCTGCCAACCTGGACAAATTCCTCTATGTGCCCACTCCCCAACCTTGTGTGGGGAGGAATTAAAGGCTACTGAGTAAATAACCAGTAGAGGCTGCCACAGTCAATCACAGTAAAATTGCCATACTTAATTTTTGAATGTATTAATATGATTATTTTTATTGTTGGTGAGGTCTTGATATAATGTGATGAAAACCGAAAAGGGGTACACCATTTATAGTACTCAGCTACCATGATGGTAGCTGGTTATAATAAAATATATCTCTATTCTGCAAATAAAAAGTTATTAGCTCCAATTCTTGGACCATGGACAGTTCACATTTACCATTGTCATCACTGTGATCATCATCATTACTGTGAATCGTTCTCATCAAACAGCATTCATTTGGTTCTCTGCTTACAAAAGATGCCGTATTATCTTTCTATGTTTCTCTTAAACATGTGGAAAATAATGCTTTTGGAGAAATTGGGATATTGGGAGGATAAACGAGCTTCTGAAGGTGTTTTCCATTGTGTGCCATAGATGAGCTCTGAAAAGTCAAGTATACATTGAAGTTTTGTAAATCGAATCAATTTTAAATGCACTAGAGAACTCAAAATTTAAAAGAACCTTGTAGTGAGTCTGTGTTGCAAGGACTCCATTTGAAACACAGGTATTCAGTCCCAGATTCAATAGTTTCATAAATTTGTATTTTTCTAAGATAGGCTGTTCTTAAATTGATTATGTGTTTTACACTTTTTCAGGGAAAAGTCATTATGAATCCAAAATCGTCTTTGTTAATGTGAATGTAATAAAATCTAGTTATTTTCATTGCCACATTAGTAGAGAATTATTCTTTTCATCATTATTCATTCTTTAAGAGAGATTTTATTTTTAAGTTAGCCATTTTGGATAATTCAAATAATAAAATATCAAAAATGGAAAAAAAAAGCTCAGGCATCACATATATAGTGGTTTTGAAAAATATAGCTCAACAAATTTCATTCATGCTAAACACACACATGTGCATACATGGAATTTCAGGAAAAAAAAAAAAGATAAAAGCAGCCTTGTTTCAGAGAAAGCAGATATGAGGGGCTTTTGTTCTTCCAATAGCCCCTCTGATCTGCTGGGTTTCTTCCTGGGTTCTCTGTCTCCTGAGAGGGCATGTGTATGTCAGTTACTTCCAGAATTACTTACTGGAATACCTGGTTCTGCCACCTATAAAGTAGGTGGTAAACTTGGGTAACTACTTATCTACATCACAGACAGGATAATAGTCCCAACCTCATGACAATCTAGAGGTTGAATAAATTAATACCTGCACAGTACTTGGATCAGTGCCTAACCTGTACTAACCTGTAGCAGCAGGCACCTAGGAAGCAGTATCCTCTATGGAGGCATCTTCATGGAATACCATGACATGGAAGTACATCTTATGAAATTCACTTAATCCCAAATCCTTATTTAATCAATGGGTGAGCAGAGGCCCTAAGGGGAGAACAATTTTCCTGAGTTCAGGCAAGGAGGGGGTAGCAGAAAGGATATATAGCTCTGGGCTCTGGAGGCCCACTAGAGAGAATTTCCCACTGGAGCCTGAGTTAACTCTAGAGGCCACAGATACTTTATTTCAGTGACCCAAAGGCAAGAGACACACTGAAGCTCCATTTAGAGCAGGATTTCTCAGTCTCCTCACGGCTGACATTTTGGGCTAGATAATTTGTTGCTCTCCAGGGGCTGTGATGTGTATTGGAGAATGCTTACCAGCACGGCTGGCCACCGGATGCCAGTACCACAAAAATGTCTCCGAGTATCATGGAATGTCCCCTGGGGGACAAAATTGCATGTATTTATAAATGCATTTTAGCAGTTTTAGCACAATAGAGCCAGAAAAGATGCTATCAGGAGTACACGTGAGGGCCCCACAAGGAGGCTGAGGCCCCACAGAGAGTGGCCTCTGGGGACTTTGCCTAAGGTACAAATCTCACTCATGTTCTGTGCACAGACTTCCTCAGAGTCTGAACTAGAAGGGTCACACTGTATTTAGTGTGCAAGCAACATACATATAAAATAACCGCTCATGAGAATAATGCAGAATTTCCCCAAAGGGGTTTGAATTTCAGGCTCTGGATATTTAAAATGGGCACAACGTTACTCATCTGAAGTCTGGTATTATAGGTCATGTGAGTGAACACCTTGGGACCTTCAGAATCAAACAAAATGCAGTGCTCCTAACGTCTGTCTGCTGAGACAATACTAACTGCAGCTCTAGGGGTTCTGAAACTGCCAAAGATGGGCCCTGTGGTTAATCCACACCTCCCCTCTCTTTTCATCCTCTTCCTGTCCCTTCATCATACACAGAATCCTCTTGGTTAAACTCCATCTTGTGTTTTTAAAAGGAACATCTAGGGGGGAACTCAAACTCAACCCATGTAATATAACTATCAAAAAAAGGTGATAAATTATTTTCCATCAAATATTCTATTGTTAATACACTCCCATGTGTACTATTATCTTAATATTTTTTAACAACAATATAATTTTGTGCAGCACATTTTAACTCACAAAGCCTCTTCACATGTATTACTGCATTTAATTCTTACAACAATATTTAAGGAAATGTAAATTCAAAGAGATTGAGTAATTGTACAAGATAACCCAACTGGTATAAATAGACATACTTCACTCCAGATTCTTATAAGCAAAATTCACTTACTGTCCATATCATTATATTTTCTTTTAAAATAATGGTGATGGGGGTTTTATTTCACCCATATTGCCGTTTTTTAGAACCACTTTGGAACTACCTCTGGAGACTGCCTGTAGAACTTGTGGCATATTTTTTAAAATACCTTCAAAGGCTCTTATCTATCAAACTTTCAGGATGAATCCCCTCTTTAAAAGAAAGTCAGGCTGTTGATTAACTTAAATATAGCCTTAGAATGCTGAAATAATTTGTCTCTGAAAGCAATGAAAATTTTTTAAAACATTAAAAATATTTAGTAACATTTAGAACAGTCATTTTCAAAATATTTTAGTAGCAGTATAATTTCTTTTCAAATAAAATCTTTAATGAATGACTAATATAAAGGAGGCCCCAGGTTTTGGGATTGATCTAAGATCAGTGAGGATCTATGCTCTATCTCCAGATAGAGCTCCAATGATATGACAACCTTCAGAGTCAACATGCCAATACCTATACAGCGACAGGCTCAGAGACTCTAGGTTGGGCGTCTCTATACCGTGATGTGTGCATCTCTATACTGTGCACACTCTATACTGTGATGTGTGCATGTTCTGAGCCTTCCTTGGCATTTCACTGAGCAAGGCACTCTATGCTATAGTAGTTTTCTAGATTGTAAAAGTTTAGCCAATTGAATATGTGAAATTTAATTCAATGTGTTCACCATCAGGGATACATTCGGAAGTTCAAGTATGTAAAAGTGAAAGAAGCATTATTCTGAAGTCTACAGGAAGATGCACAAGCTTCATGATACTAAGCTGAAGTGTTGGTGGTTTCAGTATTAATGTGTGATAACTAATATATTTTAGTGTGTGTTTTGTGCAATATTTAAACTATCCTGTCATTTTTAAAATCATATGTTTAAAAACTACTGAAGATTCTTCACAGAACTCTTAGGTTCCATAGATTAAATATTGCTGATTTAGTACGACATAATTTAGGTGTGAGGTTGTAATGTGCTTATTTATTTATTTATTTATTTTTAATAAGTCATCTTATTACTCTATAGTCTCACCTTGCCTCCTTTTCTTCTCTGGGATTTTTTCACCAGAGAAGCTCAGGGCTTTTGAAATAGCTCAGTGAAGGTCTGATTAAGATTAGGTGCTTGTAAAGCAAGGTACATACTGACATTTCTTATTCAACTGGTAAATAGCGCCTTAATTAGCCAACTACAGCTACACTCTTTGCAGGGTAATAGGTGCATCTAAAATACACTAGCTGAACACTCTTTTTGCAAGATACCAGCCTGGGAGCTACATAACGATGATGAGAACCACGTCTATCTCACTAAGGCATTTATTCATCTAGTTGTGAAAGTCAAGGTTAATTTTCGGCATGTCTGGCTTCACTGTTTCAGAAATAATTACCAACTCAGGTGCTTTTTGATCAACCAGTAAACCAGTCCTTATTAAGCCTCCACTTAGGCATACTTACAAAAAATCGTGAACGATTACAGAATGTGAAAAATGTAAAATTGCTAGAGATCATCTAATTCAGTTATTTCCAACCATTGGCCAATGGCCCTGTAATAGGTTTCCTTTATAAAAGTATTGGGGAAGCTTGATGAAAGTGTGGGTGCTCTGATGTCACCTCATGGACATAATGATTCAGTAAGTATGAAAATATTTAGATAATATTCAGTAAGATAATGATTCAGTAAGGATGGGATAGAGCCCATGAATCTGCATTGTTAACATCTCCAATGACTCTAATGGGAAACCCAGTTCTGAAATCACTGATGTGGTCAGTTCTCTTATTTTATAAATTACTTTGCCCAAGGTCAAAGTGGACCAAATCCCAGATCTCTAGACTCCCTGGTCAGCTCCTCTTCCTCTGTCTCAGGTCATATTTGTTTTTTAAGGAAATTACTCATTAATCAGTGTGGGATTGTGCACTTGCAACTCTTCAGCCTTGAGAATTAGAGCTACTCAGCAAAAACCTGAAGGTCTCATCTGCCCCAGACTCTGGGGCCAATTCTGTCCTAAGGCAGAAAGGATTTGAAGAGCTCTAAGCCAGGGGCTTTGCATCCAGTCATTTCAACTTCTGACCCCTTCTATTTGTATTTTTTAAACAAATTAGATCTACCAAAGTCTAAAAAACAATTTATTGGTAATCACACTACAATTGTGGGTTTTACTTGATTTCTTCTCATATTTCAAAAGTTTTAATTGTATATATATTGATAAAATGTTAAAGTCTAATGGGTATAAGAAACACTTAGAAAATAATTCAAGAGAGCACATCTTAATATGCCATCTGTGCGTGTCTGGCACTAAAGGTATTCACGATGTAGCAGCATCTTGCCCTTCCTAGACTATAAACTTACCACTAGCAGAAAGTTGGTGATATGTTTGATTTTGAATCTTATATACATCTAGCATCATTCTCTATATACAGTAAAAACTCAAAAAATATTTTTGAATGAGAGTGCCAATTTGGGAAGTACATCTCAGCTCCCATTAAGCAGATGTGTCCTGAGCTATTACCAGTACAGACCTGTGGGCAGAGCCAGGGGTGGGGGCATCTCTTGCTCAAGAGCGGAACTGGCAAGGCTTAAGTAACATGGCTCTTTAAAATGAATTTTGCATCTTGGTATTTCATATGCTTTTAAAATGATCATGAACTTGGCCCTTTTTATTAATGCCGCTTATTTCTAGCATTTCCCCATCTGGCAGGGAAATGCCATATTGTCCTGGAAAACCCTGGGGCCTGGAAAAATTGGGACCATTTGGCCAACAGTGTCCTCAGCAGCTCTCAACACAGGGAAATATTAAAATATATTAACAATGGCAACCAACCAAACAATCAAAAAAAGTCTGATCTTTTAGGAGAAAGATCGGGGTTTTACCATAAAAGATGCAATGCTTCCCTGACCTGTGCTTTTGCGAATGCTAGTCCCTCAGCTTGGCACATTCTGCTTTTCCCCTCTGATCTGTAATCCACCTTTCACTTCTCCACCACCATCTGCCACACATGATTTCTTCGTTTACCTTTAGTCATTATTTGGGGCCACTTAGGTATTCCTTTTTTAGGGCAGCCTTCCCAGATTTTCTGGAGTCCAGATAGCACAGTCCTCTGTTTGGCCTTTTTGGTGCACTATACTGCCCATGTCTTAGGGCTTGTCATACTGAATTGCACTTGTCAGTACATTGGCTTTCCCCTCCACACAGAAAGTTTTGTAAAGTCCTGGAAGATCATGTTTAAGTTGTTGTGACATAGTAAGAAGGTCTTTTGCCCCTGATTCCTGGCACAGAGCTTCTAAAACCCCTGTAACTCCTGGGTGATAGGGGTGACAGGAACATCTTTTGTTAAAATATTTCATCTGGATACCTTTTTCCCAACCCAAGAGCTTCTCAGACCCCTGGAGTCTCCAGAGTG
Source organism: Homo sapiens (assembly GCF_000001405.40). NCBI lineage: Eukaryota > Metazoa > Chordata > Mammalia > Primates > Hominidae > Homo > Homo sapiens. The sequence continues at coordinate 52,323,962 of NC_000018.10, forward strand.
AGAAGAGTGTCTTTTTTATGCTAATGAGATGGCTAATGGCTTAGGTTCTCTACGTAGCTTTACAGTGTGGTCTGGTTACCAGAAGAACCAACCATGTGATTAGAGGGCTGGAACTTCAAACCACTCACCCCCTCCACCTCCAGGGAGAGGAGGGTGGTTGAGATTGAGTCAACCGCCAATGATCAATGATTTAATCAATCATGCCTACATCATGGAACCTGCATAAAACTCTTTAAAAGGGGGATTTGGAGAGCTCCTGGGTTGCCGAACTCACTGCTGCGCTGGGAGGGTGATGCACCCCAACTCCATGAAGACAAAGGTTCCTGCATTTAGGGCCTTCCAAACCTTGCCCTAGGTACCTCTTCATCTGGCTCTGCATCTGTGCTCTTTTTAATAGCCTTTATCATCAATGGGTAAATATAAGTAAAGTGTTTTCCTGAGTTCTGTGAGCCTCATAGCAAATTATCAAACATGAAGAAGGGATTGTGGGAAACTCTGGTTTGTAGCCAAGTTGGCCAAAAATGTGGGTAATCTGGGGGCCCACTATTTAAGATTGGCATCTGAAGTGGGGGGCAGTCTTGTGGTACTGAGCCCTTAATCTGTAAGGTCTGTGTTAACTCTGTGTAGTTAATGTCAGAATTAAATTAAATTGTAGGACACCCAGTAGATGGCCACAGAAAATTGCAGAATTGCTTAGTATGGAAAACCCACACATTTGTTGTCAGAATTGCTATGAATATAGACACAGCAATTTTTTTAGCTGTTTGTAATCCTACCCCAAAATATTACATATGCCTCAAGTTAAGATGTCTTTTCCCTTAGAAGGTTATTTCTTATCCAGTATTTGGAGATACTAGGAGTCATTTATTCTATTTCTTTATTGTCAATAACAAAGCACCCTTCAGAAAAAAATAGCTTTGTGTTGATCTCAATTCATAACAGTTTTGTATGTTTACATGGGTCACCTAATGTAGTTTTATTTAAGGTAAAAAAAATTGGTATGAATTTAGTAATTATTCTTAAGGATATGACCCCAAGATTGCAAGTATTTGAGGTCATCGTAACAAGATTTTTAATGATCATTTTACAAAAATAATACTGAAAGCAGTTAGGCTTTGAAGACACCAGTTCTACAGCTATGGAAAGAATGGAGAAATAAAATTGCCACATTTTGTGAAAATGGCAACTTGTAGTTTGGGGTATAGATTCAAAATGGCTGTATCTCAACATAGTAGAATGAGAAGGTGATGTGTTCTGGAAAACTGTGGAACACGTGACTAGGAAACAATTCCTGTGAAGAATGCAGATGCTGATGTTAAAAATGCATGTGAAATTGGCCGGGTGTGGAGGCTCATAACTGTAATCCCAGCACTTTGGGAGGTGGATCACCTGAGGTCGGGAGTTCGAGACCAGCCTGACCAACATGGAGAAACCCCGTGTCTACTAAAAATACAAAATTAGCCGGGCGTGGTGGCACATGCATGTAATCCCAGCTATGTGGGAGGCTGAGGCAGGAGAATCACTTGAACCCAGGAGGCAGAGGTTGCAGTGAGCTGAGATCGTGCCATTGCACTCCAGCCTGGGCAACAAAGAGTGAATCTCCGCCTCAAAAAAAAAAAAAAAAAAAAGAATGCATGTGAAAATAGACACTAGGGAGTACCAGAGGGAGGAGAGAGAGTTAGGGATCTGGGCTGAAAACCACATAAAACCTGGGTTTTATATTCACTACCTGGGTGATGGGATTATTTGTATCCTAAACCTCAGTGTCATACAATATACCCACATAACAAACCTGCACATGTACCCCCTGAATTATAAAATAAAATAATGTTGGAGTGAGAGTAAAAAAAAAAAAAAAAGAATGCATGTGAAGAGGATAAGTACAACTGCTAAAATGTGAGTGGAAAATAACTTTTCTAAATTAATATATTATGCATACTTTATATGGTTTAAAATGTGTACATAAATCCAAATGAACCAATCATTTAAGCAGTATTTAACTATTCTATCAACATCCCTAAAAGTGATTTTCATATTCACATTAGCCAAAAAAAAAGTAGGGATTTTCTTATTGGAGAAATGCAAAATGGTATTATTTACAGAAATACCTTTTATTCGGGGGTAAATATAGGTTGCTGTTTGTTGATGCAGTGAACTCTGCAATGACTGATACAGGATATGGGGCTGTAACATTGGCCCTTTGAGTGCTGTATTCAGACTGACTAATTCATCTCTCAGAACTGGGAAGATTGCCAAAAGACCCTTTGTGGTAAGTGGTAGTCAGAGTCCTAGCAGTTGTAAAGGCCTTCCTCATCCTGTGTTTATCCCATCCTGGTCACCATCACCCATGATATGAAAAAAAGAGGGACATTTCCCCATATCATGCATGATTCTATTGATTTCAAGAAGATCCAGATAAAATGGAATAAACAGAAAACTTATGGTAGCTCAAGTACCTTAAAAGTCAAGGGAAATGATCACCTTCTGCTTCAACTTAATCAGAGGCTTAATGTTACTGGGACTCTTTCTATCTCTCTGTGATTTTCTCCCTCTATGTGAGACCCATCCTCAGACAGACTCTTTTCTTACATTGAAAGAAAGAGCAGCAGCTCCAGGCCTGAAATCCTCTCAGCTCAAATCCAGCAGGAATCTCCTCATGCTCTGTCCAAGCATTCCAGCAAAATCTCGGTGCATCACACAGGTTCCAGGTGGGTCATAGTCACATTCCTAACACACCTTCATGGCTGGGGAAAACACCCAAAGAACAGCCTGAGATGAGGAGGAAGAAGGCTTGTTTCTACACTGAGAAATGAGAGTTCAGCATGCGAAGAAGGATGAATGGATGCAAGCAGTAAAAACAACAGATGATACCACATTTTCATATTTTCCTGATTGTCACAGTACTCCATGTTAATTATCATTCAGAAGAACAGGAAATAAACATAACACTCCTCGGCTCTTTTCTCAGGGATATCTATGAGTACCATTTTGTCATTCTTCATCCTAATTTTTCTATTTGTGTAATTTTTATAAAATGCAAATCATAGTGTAGATATAGAGCTGGTATTTTCACTTAGATTAAATAAGAATTTTAATATCTGATGAATAATCTATTATAAACAATTTAAATGGCTACATTCAAAAGCAATTTTTATAGTTAACTACGTTATTTTTTAAATTCCTTGGTTTTCCTGTTTACAGTCTAGATAGGAGACATTAAACACGGATGAAAGGTAGAAGTAGTCCAAGGGCAGAGATACAAATACTTGTGTTTATAATCTTCTTTACAGTCTCCAAGAATTGAGCCTTTAAGTATTTATTGAAAGAGTGTTTTTTTTTAACTTTTATTTAAGTTCAGGGGTACAAGTGCAGGTTTGTTACGTAGGTAAACTTGTGTCATAGGGGTTTGTTGTACAGATTATTTCATCACCCAGGTATTAAGTGTAGTATCCATTAGTTATTTTTCCTGATCCTCCCCTTCCTCCTACCCTCCACCCTCCAAAAGGCCACACTGTGTGTGTTGTTCCCCTCTATGTGTCCATGTATTCTCATCATTTGGCTCCCACTTAAAAGTGAGAACAAAAAGCATCATATTTTATGTAATCATTCCCATTTCTCTCTTGTGTGAGTCCCCCCAGCCTATACCTAATCTCAGAAGTAGATTCCTACCTTCCGGTCCAGTCACATCCTCTGCCCAATATTTGGTGATGAATGACCTCCACATATTGATTTGAACTGCACTGTGCCAAGTCTCAATGCCAAGACATGTCTTTGGCACAGGATGCTACACTAGAACTGTTCTTTCTGACTTGACCTGTTCTTGGTGTAACAACTGTTTGCTGAGACAAGACTGAAAGATGGCTGGGCCCCTGAATCATGGATCATAGGACCTTCTCTTTCCAAAGCTCCTGTGTGCAATGAAGAAATAGGCATTTCTTCAAAAAGGGTTAGAGAAGAACTTTAGCCAAATTAAATTTAAAGGAGTTTCATTGAGCAATGAATGATTTGCAATTCAGGCAGCCCCCAGAATCACAGCATATTCAGAGAGACTCCAGGGATGCCTTGTAGTCAGAACAAATTTATAGACAATAAAAAGGGAAATAGGGAGTGAAATATAGAAATCATAAGTGAGGTACAGAAACAACTGGATTGGTTACAGCTCAGTGTTCACCTTATTTGAAGACAATTTAAATGCTCAGCAGTGCATGAGTGGTTGAAGTATGGCTGCTGGGATTGGCCAGGACTAAGCTATTGTTACAGAAACATACTCTTAAGTTGGGTTTTCAATCTTATCTACCTATTAAGTTAGGTTGCAATTCATCCACAAGGACTCAAATATAGAAGTATGGGGTCTTTCTCAGGCCGTATTTACTTTGCTTTAACAAGGTACATATTGAACTTCTATTACATGTCAGTCATTATTACTACAGCTGGGAATATAATGGTGAGCAAAAATCTATATTTTCATCATGTTCACACTCTAGTGAGAAAGACAGACATATAATTATGTAAAATGGCCATTTGTGATAAGTGCAGTAAAGGAGAGGCACGTGGAGAGATGAGTGGTTATAATAGAGAATTTCATCTATAGTTTTTCTGAAGAATTAATAAGTGAGTTGAGAACTGAAGATGGGTTAGCAGTAACCAACAAAAGTGGTGGGGTAGAGAAAAAAATTCAAGAACAAAAAATAATCCCCTGATTCCTTGACTCTCTTACTTAAGATTGTACTTCTTCTTTGGTACCTTCTGTAAGAAAAGAGGTCAGGACAGTCTTACCAGAGGAATTAATGTTTGAGCAAAGACCCAAAGAAGTTAAGAAAAAAGCCACTTTGCTATCTGGCCAGGAATATTCCAGTGAGAGGAAATTTGTGCAAAGACCCTGAGATGGGTTGGTCCCTGTGTGGCCAGGAACAGCCGGAAGCCAGTGGCTGGAGAAGTAAACTGAGTGGGGACACACAGGAGTCAAATTCAGAGTGAAAGAGAGGGAGGAGCAGGTCCTGTGAGTGTTTGTATTCATCATGGGGCACTGTAAAGAATTTTAGTTTTGAGGGAGATGAAATTGAACTTGAGGGAGAGGAGTAAGATGTAGAACCACTGAAAGATTTTGAGCAGAGTGATCTGATCTGACTTACACTTAAAAAGAAATCATCTGGCTATATTGAGAAGAGATTGTATAGAGTACAAGTTGGAAGCACAGTGGCTCTTGGAGCATATTTAAGTTCCCGTTTACAAAGGAAGAAATGGAGGCACAGAGATTTTAACTTGACTAAAGTCATATAGCACAGATAATTGATTTGAACTTAGGTTTAGCTGATCTTAAAGCCCCTGCCCTTTCTACTATGTCAGATTTGTGTGTGTGTGTGTGCATATTAATTATAAAAGTAGGATCATACAATGTATGATACTTGAATAGTTTTTCACTTTTTCATTTAAGATGTTACGAAGTATGTCAACACATCATTTTTCTATAGCATCATTTTTAAGGCTTACACCTTAGTCCATTGTATAGATGTACAATCTTCAGATAACCTACCTCCTTTTGTTATTTTTAAATTATTATTAAAAATCTAAATAAATATTTGCATTGGGAATTCTTCCATCCTCTTCAGGGAAAAGGCCAAACATCCCAAGGAAAATATTTTAGAATATATTTCCTGTTGATGAGAAGGTGATCTTTCATACATGAGAAAACAATGTAAACTCAATGACAGCATTGGCCTTTTTATTTTAAAGTACTTAAAGCAATTTCTAAAAGAATATATTTTCACACTTTGCGAAGTAAGCATGAAACTACACAAAATTACTAATTAATTAGATTTGGAGATGCAGTCAATATGTTCATGAGGAAGGGCAATATTTTGTGTAGAAACTAAAGTGCCTATATTTTAATGTGTTAGTTTAAAAAATCAGTAGGCAAATGTTCTTGTCTCACCCTCCGGAACATTAGATCTCAATGATTTTATTGGTTTGGTGATGATGACATTGTAAAGGTTTGGGTTCTCCTTCTTTTACAGAAGCCTAGGAGTATCATTTCTTTCCGGTTGTCTTAGCTATTCCTTTTCCTTTCCAATACAGTGCAGTCTTCCTGTCTAGGCTTTTCAAGTTTCCCTCACCTCCTTTACTATCACACCTCAAAAAAATAGATTTGTCTCCTCTTTTTTTTTTTCTTCAAAAGTGTCTCAGTGCTGTGGACTTGAGAGAACCCATGTTATATAAGAAAAAACATCACAAGTTTTCTTATGAATCAAAGCCAGCAGTTAGGCCTTCTGCAATGTTTCACATGGTGGAACTAGAAACAGGAAATTATTCAATTAAACCTCCGTAGTTCACCACTGTAGCAACAAATAGGCTATTTCAGAAGCAGTTTTCCCAGCCTCAGAAGGAGAATTCCCCCAGTGCCGGGGAGTAGAGTGGTGCAAAAGTACCAATTTTCAAGAGTATTCAACTGCAAAAATGACACTTTTCTACTTGCAAAAGAACTTTCTTTGGCTGTTTTCTGAGACAGAAGGAAATCTCCTTTCCCATTTTGGAAATCAATAAGGCTTTTTCCTCCACTGCTATGGGTTATTATAAAAGAAACTACCCATGTTTCTGGAGATAACTTGTAGAAGATGATTACTGAAACACTGCCAACTCTGCTCTCCTGTGGGCCGCCATCTGGAGGTTGGGGACTGCTGGTTGGAAGGATGTGAAGAATATCCATTCAGGTTCCTAATGCTCGTATCTCCCAGACATTTCAACAAGTTTGCAATAGAGTATTTTGAGCCAACGCCATCTAGAGCCCAGGATAAAGTTCCCTTACCATTTCTCATTGCAAGTCATTACCAGGACACTTTCAGGGCACTCTTGTTGAGTTGCTCAGCTGGAATTTTTATAATAGCCTATGACACAATTAAATATACAGCCCATATCCAAGGAAGATATTGCTAGCTGCAGAGAAGTGATGGTGTCTCTCTGAGGAGCTGTTTCTTATGACAGCCTCCCTTCCCTATATAAACCGGGGGCAGCCTGACCAGCAGTGCCAGGATTATAGGCATCTGTGGAGTAGTGCCTACTCAAGTATGAGCTCTTCTACTTTTTAAGTGTGTGATGTTGGGCCGGCAATTTTAACTCCCTTAGTTTCAGGGTTCTCATCTGTGAATACAAATGAAAATACTTTACAAGGTTATTATGAGAATTAAAGAGATAACATATGTCAAGTGCCTGGCATACAGCCTGATACATAATAGGCATGTAAATGGTGGTAGCATGTTTCTCTTCTATTCCATGTGAAATTCAGTCTATCCCCAGAGTGGTCACTAGGCATACATTCTCACCTCTTCTCTTTCCACTAACATGACCATAAAAAGCCATTTTCTTAGTTTCTCCACTCAGGCCTACTTCCTCACAGAGTTGAGCTCTAACAACTTGCAATTCTTTCCAAACCATTAAATATACATACAGATATGTATGTGTATATATATATATACACGCACACACACACACATATATAATATATATATACACACACAGATAGATGTATATTTAATGGTTTGGAAAGAGTTGCAAGTGGTTAAAGCAACTCTTTCTCTCTCTATATATATGTATATACACACATACACATATACACATATATGTGCATGTGTATATGTCTCTATGTATACATATGTGTGTACATGTCTCTATATATAGAGAGATAGGTTTCTCTCTCTATATAGAGAGCGGATTCTATGTATGTATGTATATAGAGAGAGGTTTGTATATTTAATGGTTTGGAAAGAGTTGCAAGTGGTTAAAGCAACTCTATATTATATATAAAATCTATTATGATATAATAGACAATGTTAGTGTGAAATTAGTAATGTATAATATTAATACATTACATGATTAAATATATATTACATTGAACATATACATTACATATTATACGTAATGTAATATGTTACATTACACTAAATAAATATATGTAAGATACATTAATATATATTTACTAGGACTCATACTAATTTTAATTCTAAACTCAACCAGGAGGCACCCACATTTACAGGGCAATAAAGAAAGAAGAGGTAATTTAAAAAGCAAAAGGGGCAAATACAGTTTTGAAATGAAGGCTCTCTCTGAACAGGGAACCTCAGGGTATACTGTCGGTGCAAAACAGAGGAGTATTTACCACCCTACCGTGGGTTCACCATCACCTCAAATGTGACATAACATGGCATTGGGTTTTTTAGTGGATACAACACATAAATTTCTTCTGTCAAATTTAAAGACAATCGAAATGTTCACATTTTTTCACACTCATTTGAAGTCAAACCTATTATTTCCTATTGCTCACTTGCTGAATTGGGATTTTTTGTTGGGAGTGGGTAGGTGTCTGGAGGAGTTACCAAGTGTAGTCCTTTCCAAGTATTTTCATTCATTTAGAGATTTTAGATTAATTTCATTGTTCTATTCTGCTGAAATCTTTTTGAATTTTAATGGTGCTGACAATTATAATAGTTATTCCTTCTAGTTTTCTATCACCAACTAATTTATTCTGCATGTTAATATCTCCATGCCAGGTATCAGTTTAAAAATATTTGCTATGGGGACGAGGGGAAGCAGAGCACTATGATAAGTCACAGGAGAATAATCTTTTAACTGGGCGTTAATTGATATTGACCAATTAATACACACTCTGGTAGTAGGGATTCACCACACTTCATTATAGTTTGGATCATATTTAACTTAGGTATTTACAACAATACCATGAGTATAATACAAAACACTTGTAAAAATCCAGATATGATTTTTTTTGTGTTAATTTTCAGTCATTTCAATCTGCAATAATTTATTCTAAGTGAACCCATGCTGGCTCCCAGTGGCCTTACATCCTTTCCTAAGTGTTTATAAATCATGTCTTAAATAATTAATTTTTATCTCCAGTCTGAGAGAGATTTCAAGCTCACTTGACTGTAGTTAGAAATAACTATAGCCTTCCATTAAAAAAAATCAAGGAAACCTATTTTCAAAAGGCACAAATGCCTCTCCTATTCCTTAAAGATTAACAAAAGTGATTCAGCCATCTCTTTGGAAATACATATTTGAAGCAAGAAAGGTTGGGTATTTTTGGAATAAGCACTCTAGGACCCTTTCCTTGCTGGAGATTTTCCCCCTACCATGCCCTACACAAATCACCCTCTTCTATCTAGCTGATTTAGTCTCAGACTCCAGAATTTTACATACCCATTATCACCTCAAACTCTTTGCTAGATTAATAGGACCACTGAGTCTTATTATATTATCTCCAAGAGGTCATCCCTGAACACCTCACTCCCTCCTGTCTCTAAACTACTGCAGTATTTTGTTGTTGTTGTTGGGGGAGGCTATTACATAAATAGAGTTTTAAATTATAGGTCAAAAAATACACCTGTTTTCTTTGTTCAGATTGGAGGCTGCTTGAAAGGATGAACTCTTTCTTTTTCTTCCATGCAACCATCTTGTTCTCTTATATTGATATTAGGCATTAAGAAAAGCTTGCTGATGAATGATAGTAATGAAGCCTTTCCTTCCTTGTCATATGGCCACACACCCAGAATTAGACGTCTGTTGACCAAAAATCAGTTGCAAAACTGGCACTGGACAAAAAATCATAAATTTTAAAGTGGGAAAAAGCACTTATTAAATAGAATCCTTGTTTTTAATTAGTTTAATTAGAATGCTTCATGTTGTAAAATGTATATATTCTCCTTAACCTGGATTAAATAATAAAAGAATTAATTGACCCCTATAAGTGAGAAATCCAAAGGCAGGGATGGCTTTAGGTTAGATGGCTTATTCCAATGACCCAAATAATGTAACCAAAATCTCAGTTTCTTTCTGTTTCTTCACTTTGATTCTACAGTTTCAACTTCATTTTCAGGTTCTGTATTAGCTTTTTTGTTGCTGCTATAACAGATTGCTACCAAATTTGTGGTTTAAAACAAAAACAAATTTATTATCTCACAGTTCTGGAGATCAGAAGTCAGGAAATGCATCTTTTACTTATAAAATCAAAGTGTTCACAGGGCTGTGCTCCTTCTAGAGGCTCCAGGGGAGAGCCTGTTCCTCTAGCTTCTAGAGGCTGCTTGCATTCTGTGGCTTGTGGTTCCTCTTGAGCAATGATATCACTCTGACTTCTGCTGTCATTGTCATACATCCCTTTCTTACTCTGCCTCTCTCTTTCAACTTTTAAGGATGCTTATGATTGTAATTGGTCTTCCTAGATAATCCAAGATAATCTCCCCATTGCAAAATCCATCTTTATCACATCACAAAGTCCCTTTTGCCGTGTCAGGTAACAGTCTGGCCTAGTATCTGGATGTGGGCATCTTTGGAGGGCTGTTATCTTCCTTTCCACAGTCTTCCTTCTAGTCCTGATAGATTCGCATTGATTTCCCATGAAAACTACGTTCATCCCTTCCCAGCATGTCCAGAAGTTTCAATCCATTACAGCATCAACTCAGAGTCCAAAAAATCTCACATTAGCAGCTCAAAGGACCCAAATCACATCATCTAAATCAGGTATGGGTAAGACTCTGGCTATGACCCATACTGGGGAAGATTTCCTCTTTTCTATGGACCTGTGAAGCTAGAAAGCAAGTTATATGATCTCAAAATACAATGTTGTAACAGCACACAAAGCCAGCTACAAAACTTCTTCTCAAAAGGAAGAAAGTCAGAAGAAAATAAAAGGAATCCTTGGTCCCAAGAAGTTTTGAAATCCAGCTTGGCAAAAAAAAAAAAAAAACATTAGTTTTCAAGTCTTGGGAACAATTATCTGTGGTTTATGTCTTCATCCTCTTGGCTCTGAGCTCTGCCCTCTAGGTTCATATTTCTGACCTTGTAATTATTTTTCTTTCATTCTTTTTCATAAGGGTAGTACCTACTTGCAACTGAGTACTCGTAGCTTCTTTCCTGCCTGTAGAATTTTAAAAATCTAGCAGCCTTCTTTCATTTTGTCTTCTTTGTCCCTTTGAGTCCAATCTGGCAGTGTTTCTGCTGATATAACAATCTCAAGAAGCTTGCTGGTCTTCCACATATGTCTTGGGTATTTACTCTATTAGAGAGGAGACTCTTCCACAGGCCTTTCCTGCATAACTTCTTCTTTACTTCTGGCTTCTGTCAAGACAGCTGAGAGGATCCATGAGTCACATGCCTAATTTCCTCAAAAAACCCACTGCATGACTGAATATTCTGATCTTTTGATCTTTGTGAGGCATGAGCAACACACTATTTACTTTCTCTACACAGTATGCGTTCCTAACCATAAATTTCCTAATTTCAGTGTGATTTATAATCTGAATAGGCTGATAATTTCCCAAATCAAGTACTGTTGTTTTCTTTTTATATAAAGAGTTTTTCCCTCAGTCTATCTCTTTATCATATTTTACTATAAGCAGCAAGGAGAAATTTGATCACATCTTCAACACTTTGTTTGGAAATCTTAGCAAATATCCAAGTTTATCACTTGCAAGTTCTGCACTCCACATAGTAGTAAGAAATAACTGTGCTAATATTTTTGCCACTATATAACAAGGACCCCATTTTGCATTTTTTTCTGAGACCTCATCATCAATGCCTTTAGTGTCCATATTTTACTAACAGTCTATTCAAGGCAATCTAGGCATTTTTTCTGTTTCCCAATTCCAATGTCACCTGGACAATTTTAAGTATTGTTACAGCAGCGTCTCACTCCAGGGAACCAAAATCAATACTAGCATTCTATTACTCTTGCAATCAACCACCACAAATTTAATGACAGAAAACAACACAAACAACACAAATTTATTATCTTACAGTCAAATATTCAAGTAAAGATTTTACAAAGCCAAAATCAATATATCAGTAGGACTGTGTTCCCTACAGAGGCTCCAGTGAACATCTGGTTTTTTTCCTTCTCCAACCTTCAGAGGCTGCCTGCATTCCTTGGCTCATGAACCCTTCCAGTAATGGCATCACTGTGCCCTGACCTCTGCTTTTGCCCTCACATCCCTTCCTCCAACTCTGGCTTTCTGTCTCTCTCTTCCATTTTCTAAGGCCCCTGTGATTTCACTGGGCACATTGGGTAATCAAAGATAATCGCCTCATCTTATGATCTTAACTTTATAACATTTGCAAATCCCTTTTATCATGTAAAGTCACATTTTCACAGGTTTTGCCGATTCGGATGTAGGTATTTTGAGGTAGGGGGTGGAGGGTATTTTTCTGCCTACCACAGGTTCTTCATGGGGATCTGATGGAAGCACCAAGATTTCTTTTAAATTAGTCCCTTCATTGAAACTCATACTCTTCCACAGTCTGAGGGGAAAAGGATTACTCCCAGCAGTGCCTCCATGAGGGACGCAAAGCTTCTCCTTCAAACAAGCCCCAGAAAATGTCTTCTTCACTCTGATTGGCTGAGGGCTCAGTTTTGAATTTCTCATCGTGATCAGAAAGACAGGCTACTCTGCGTGACTAAAGTGATTCAGGATCCATTACCTCAATTTTGTAGTTGAGAAATGTGGAGCAGTAGTACCCTCAGAGCAAACTGTAAGACCTGTTATTAGAATAAGTTAGAAGAGATTAGGAGGAAGACAAGCAAGCAAACAAAAAACAAAAACAAAAGCCCACAAATATCACCTAAAATATACCACTTCACCCCATGATTGTAAATTAGCCCATGTCAAATGACCACATCATATTTATATTTGTATATTCTATATAGATAGCACATAGCCTAAGTCTAATATAATAATTGGCTTTCTTAAATGACTAAATGGTGAACTATTATATTGTCACATTCATGTGATTTGATCTGCAACGTAATAAAATTCATAGCTTTATAATACCTTTTGACTAGGTGTTATTGGTTTTGCAAATATATTTCTCAAATATGTTTTAGAAAGTATTGAAAGTCAGATTATGATATTGGGAGAACAAAAATAGATTCAGATAATTAATTTTCAGAATAAAAATAAGACAAGAATGCAGTTCCAAAATGGATGTTCTGAAAGGAATTGTACACTTTTAATTTGTCTTATTTTCTTGGCCTAATCTCAGAAAATCAATGCTCCTCATACACCCCCACCCCTAATACACACATAACTAAGAGTATATGTGATTTGAAAAAACTGAAAGTGCAGATTAATGCACCTTCTGAACTCAAAAGTGTGTCTGGACATCTGTATATTCTATCACCAGATTAAACCTCAGAAGGGGTCTTTCAAAACGTCTTAAATACTATGTGAAGAGTATCAGCTATGCTAAACTATTTGCTGTGGCCCGCATTTCTCTCCTGTTTCTGCCTGATCTTTTGATATTCTTTTTTTGTTTTTGTTTTCCTAGTAAGAGGCTATGTGGCAAGTGGGCCTGATACCTCTGAGAGGAGAGATGAGGAGACGCAGTGTCTCTCAAGTATAAATCACTGAACTGTGAGTCAGAAAATAGCAAAGTTGTTTCTAAGAGAATACTCTAAAATCAAGCTGAGTCATCTAAGATGAAGGAAAGAGTATTGGGGAAGAGAATACAAGCAACTTTCAGAAGCTAGCTGTGGAACCAAATGAGTATCTAAGAGGAAGAGAAGTCAATGGTCTTTTGTAGAAGCCCATTAGTCAGTGGACTGATGGCTTGGATTACTCAGTACAGGGGTCAAGGGCCATAGTGAAGAGTAACTTGATCACTAGAACAGCTATGTGAGGCTGAAGGAGATCTGAGTGGTATTTGGTTTTCTGTTTCTGTATTAATTTGCTGAGGATAATGCTTTCCATCTTCATCTGTATCCCTGTGAAGGACATGATTTCATTCCTTTTTATGGCTGCATAGTATTCCGTGGTGTATATACACCACATTTTCTTTATCCGGTCTATTATTGATGAGCATTTAGGATGATTCCATGTCTTTGCTATTATGAATAGTGCTGCAATGAACATATGTGTGCATGTACCTTTATAATAGAATGATTTACATTCTTTTGGGTGTATATCCAGTAACAAGATTGCTGGGTCAAATGGTATTTCTGCCTCTAAGTCTTTGAGGAATAACCACAATGTCTTCCACAATGTTCTCACTTATAAGTGGGAGCAAAATGATGAGAACACATGGACACATGGCGAGGGAACAAAACACACTGGGATCTCTCAGAGGGAGGGGCTGAGGGGAGGGAAAGCATTAGGAAGAATAGCTAATGGATGCTGAGCTTCATACCTAGGCGATGGGATGATCTGTGCAGCAAACCACCATGGCACACATTTAGCTCTGTAACAAACCTGCATATCCTGCACATGTACCATGAACTTAAAATAAATTTGAAGAAAAATCCAGATCTGAGCAACATGGACCATTTTTGGTTTCCTACCCTCCCTCCCACTTGTTGAAGACATCCTATTACTGATATGGGAAATACAGGACTTCATTAGTCTTGAGAAGAAGTTGCAACTCTTCCCTCATACCTACTATCTTATGCAATGGTTCTTTACATCATTTTGGCAGGGAGGCAGGCTTGAACTCACCTTATACATTTACTGAAAGCTAAAGATTCCCTTCCCAGTTAAACAGCATGTTCACACAAGCCAATCACTTTTCATAAAATTTCAGGATATTCACAAACTTCCTGAATTTTGTTGGTGGAGACTTCCTGGGAAGATTCATGGACTGAGTTAAGAACCCTTGCTGTAGAACCCAGTCCTGAACCACTAGAGGCTTCACCTCAGCTAATGGAAGTTTTGAGTGTTTCAAGAAATTTGGGGGTAACCAAAGAGTTTCATCCAATTCTAAAGAATCCATCCATGTAAGCTATTTCAGAAGGTTTTGCTTTAGTGAACACAGGCACTTCATATTTTAACTTTTCCAGGACAGGAAGGAATGGGCATGACTAGGGATCTAAAACACTGTTGTCCAGTTCCAGCATCATAGGAGTTTCCCTGATGATGATTTTATCCTGGATTTTTCATGCTTTCCCTCACGCCTTTCTTCTTAAATAGATGTTCACATTCTCTCTGCTCACAGCCTGGTGAGCATGGGAGGGTGACAAGAACAGGTGGGGAAGAATCTAGTAAGGAATGGTCTGAATCCACAGCTGAACATCTCCTTAAACGACAGAATTTTACCAGAATGACATTTCTATTCATTATCCTTCCCGGCCAAATTAATTGGTTTGTAAGTTCACTTATTCTGCAGAAACGTATTGGCATGTGCAGAATTCCAAGTTCTATGCTAGCATCTGTGAGGAGTGCAAAAATGGATGGCATACAACCTCTCTCTTCTCAAAGGAGCTTGAGTTCCCGCAGCAGAGACAAGTTATGCAAAGGAACTCAGCTTAAAACAGTTTCCTGAAAGGGCTTTACTGTTCACCCTTCCTAAGTTTCCTGCTGTGTGTGTGCTTGTGTGTGTGTGCACACACACGCGTGTGTATGGTTGCTTCACTTTATCTGCCAGGGACTGGAGAAATGTCTCTCTTGTTTTCCCAGAGCACCCCCTCCATTACGTGAACCATCATATTTATCACGATACTTTATAATTATCCATTTAGCTTCTCTCCTGACGGATCACAAACCCCTTGAGGATAGAGACTGAGTCTCACTGGATGTCCCAACTATTTCCTGGGAGCCAACAGAACACCTGGAACATGATAAGTGCTTTTAAATATGTTAAAGAAAACAATTGCGAGAGAAGAGAGAACACAGACGACATGAGACGTCCTACAAAAGGAGGCCCCTTAGCTATTATGTCAGGAAATAACTCTGGCCTTTGTCCTGTCCGCTGTGTGTTTCAGGATCTCGATTTCCCTCCCGTCCTAGAAGGGAGTTGGATCAGGTGATTCTTTCCAAATGAAAAATTGTATTTTAAATAATGCCAAGGGCAGAGAAGGAAGTAAACATCCTGGCCACCTCCTCCGCCTTAAACGCCCGCCTAGGTTTTACAGTCAAATACCAATAATTTCCTGAAGGCTGAGTGTCAAACACGGTCGCTGCAAAACCTCCAGACGCTCAGGATGTTCGCAGGCTCCATTGACAAAAGTGACTTCCCACGCTTTGCCCACAGAGGGCATCCCTGCGCATTGATACGCAGACCAGGCAAATGCAGCTCCTGGAAGCCTCCTCGGTCCGCTCTTTTTTCCCTAAGCCATAGTCTGTCTGCCCCCACCCCCTTCCCGTGGAATCTTTGCCTGATCCAGTTCGTTTCCCTCCGGTCTCCACATTTTCCCTTCCAGCCCTCCACTTCTCCGGATCAATGTGTAGTACGGTTCCAACTCCCAGCTCGCACACCGCTGGCGGACACCCCAGTAACAAGTGAGAGCGCTCCACCCCGCAGTCCCCCCCGCCTCTCCTCCCTGGGTCCCCTCGGCTCTCGGAAGAAAAACCAACAGCATCTCCAGCTCTCGCGCGGAATTGTCTCTTCAACTTTACCCAACCGACGACAAGGAACCAGCCTCAACCTTTTAATGCACAGCCCGGCCACAGGATTGCCTTCCATCTCCTCTTGGTCCCTCCTGGATGTGGTTTATTGATGACTTGCGAGCCCCTCAGAGAGCTGTCTTCCCTCCTCTGGCTCCCTCCGTTTCCTTGAGTTAGTTTTCTAAGGTTTTACCGGGGCTCGGGATCTCTTGGACCGAATGGAACTTTTTGCTGCCTGCTTTTGCTGCTGATTCTGTCAGTGGACAAGGAAAAAGGCTTCGAAGGCAGCAGAGGCGCAGGGGAGGTGGAGAAAGAGGTGGAGGAAGAGGACGAGGAGGAGGAGGAAGCCGAAGGGGCTCGGCGCGTGTGTGTGCATGTGTGCATGCGTGTGTGAGTGCATGTGTGTGAGTGCTGCCGCTGCCCGCGACCCCTGGCCCCGAAGGTGTTGGCTGAAATATGGAGAATAGTCTTAGATGTGTTTGGGTACCCAAGCTGGCTTTTGTACTCTTCGGAGCTTCCTTGTTCAGCGCGCATCTTCAAGTAACCGGTAAGTGGCTCTTTCCTTTCTTCTCGTCGCACCCCCTTCCGTACCCCACTTCCCTTCTCATTTCATTTGGCGAGTAGTAGAATTGGGGTGGGGGATAGCAAGAGATTTGGCGCTTGCGCTGCCCCCATTTGCGCACCGATGATAAAAGATAGAAGAGTTTTTTTCTTCCCTGGGGGCGGATGATGGTGGGGGGGTGGTACAAGGGGCGCCCCTTCGCTGTTTTAAAATCTGATGCTTCACGCATTTTTGCTTCTGCAAATACTTGGGTTGGTTTGGAGAGCCGGCGGGCTGGGGCAGGTGCTGGGGATATCGTTGAAAGGAACTGGGCTGGGTCCTTAAAGCCCCAGAAACCTACCAAGTGGGGAGGATTGGGGCAACAGGAGCAGGCGAGGAGGACATCCAGGGGCTTTGAGGAAGTCTGCGCAGAATGTAGATGGTGGGGCTGAGTCGTTGGTGTGTGAATACATCTCCTTTTGGTTTGGATTTTTGGACTTGGTGATTGAGAATAGGGAAAGGGACAGCTAATATGTTTTGGTACTTCCAAGGAGGGGATCCTGGTACTGAAGGAGGCACAGAGTTGCCAAGGAGGAGGGGAGGTGTGTTTAATATTGTTTTATTTTTTAACGGTGAATGTAGTTCGCAAGCTGAGTCTCCATATAGCTCCAGGACACCTCCAAACTCCAAGTGATTGATATTCCAGAGAACCGGCGCCCTGACCCTGGCACTTGCCTAGCTCAGTTTCTAATTAAAAATGGCAAAACTGTTTGGGGATTGGATCTGGCTAGTGCAGGAGAAAGAGGGACCTGGAGGCTGGCTGATCAGGACTGCTGTAATCTCCGAATACGGAGCTGGCGGCTTCGACGGCCAAAAGAATAGAAAAGAGCAAAATGACTCATGATAAGGTCCACTTGTTTTGCGGGACCTCACCGCAAGTGTAGATGGGCACTGGGGTACAGTGAGCGGTCCTGGCAAAGAAGGAGAGGAGAGCGGCTGGATGAGCATTCAGAGAGCCCTTCGGAAACGACCTTTTTCCAAATCCAAAGGAAAAACAGGCTCAGGCAGAGACCGGGCGTTGAGTAGGAGCTCCCCAGTTCGTGCCTGGGAAATTAACAGGGAATGGCACATCAATCGCGGCCAAGCCCCCAGCCTCCCCGGAGTCCGCAGCTCCGGCTTTCTCTTCTCTGCTAAGTGCTGCATGGCCAAGGGTTGCGAACGCGAGCAGAAAATGCGCCTCTCACTGTCGCGAGGGATTCAGACAGTCAAGCGCCAAGGCAGCCCGAGGCTCCCCAAAGCCTCGCTCGGCCGCACGCGGGCAGGAATCTGCGCTTGCACTCGGGCTCAGCTCCTCATCTTCCTTTGGCCAGAGACAGAGAGAGCAGGCAGGAGGGGTGTGTGTGTGTGCGTGTGTGTGTGTGTGTGTGTGCACGCGCGCTGTCCTGTGATGAGCGCGTACCCGCATCCCCGCGCTTAGCCGCTGGTGCTCCCTCCCTCCGTCTGTCCCTCCCGGGCCGGTCCCCTCCTCCCCTGGCTCTTCTCTCCCGGAGCTTTGTCCTCAACAATTACTCTCGCAAAAGGTGGGTGGGGGTGGGGGGGTGGGCATCTCCACAGTAATGAATAGGTGTCTGTTTTAAATTGCCTCCTCGAGACCCT
This sequence comes from Homo sapiens, assembly GCF_000001405.40. NCBI lineage: Eukaryota > Metazoa > Chordata > Mammalia > Primates > Hominidae > Homo > Homo sapiens. Next base: position 52,342,529 of record NC_000018.10, read on the forward strand.
CAAATGCTAGAGGCTGCGGGGAGGAGGACCCTCCTTCTGCCCAGAAGATTGACTTGGGCTTTCTATAGCAGTTTGGGAGACCTATGCGGACGGGAAAGGGGAAGTTCAGGGGGCATCCCTTACTGGGTAGAAAGTCTGCCTAACAGCAGCACTGCTGACCTGAAATGTGCTAGCTGAATGCACTGCATGAAGCAAGGTGTACAAAAATGAACAATGATGTCTTGTCAATTACACGACAGTATTTTAAAGCTATTACTCAAGTGACTTTTGTCTGGCATAGGGTGGGGGTAGATTAATAGAGATAAATTTATGTGCGTTTTATTAATGTCTAAATTAATTAAATATTCTCTTTGCATTTATTTACATTTCTTGTCCAGAGAGTCAGGGCCATGTATTACTGCTTCATTTTAATTTTCTCCTCAACAGACAGATCTATGCTTGAAAAAGCAGATGTAAGGAAGGGATACATACACACACATACACATGGGTTATGTTGGTGGATAGGCTAACGGATCTAAATCTTTAAACTTTTCTGCACTTCTAAATCTATATCTGTTATTTGCAAGTGAGTCGTGATGCAGTTTGCGCAGCTCGCAGGAAAGTGGATGGTGCATTTTTAAGATATTGCCAATTCACAACACTCTGGCCTTTGCTCATTAATCTGAGTATCACTTCTTTCTCTTAGTAATAATTTCCCCTGTTTAGGAACATGGCAGGAAACTTACAACGAGAAAGCATAGTTCACTCTATAAAAGGACCAGTAGGAGGTGCCCTTAATAAGGCCAAGTGTCTAGTTTACTGGCAGAGAAATTCCCATTCAGCCGGGTGTTTTAAAGACTTTGTTGATTGGTAACAAAGGATTATGGAGACTAGCACAATAGCACTGGGCCCTTTCCCACTTTCTAGGTAAAGTCTGAAGCTGCTGTAGATTTGTATGAAACTGTGATGATTTAACAAAGGACAGCCCTGAAAAGTGTCAGTAGAGAGTGAGGACTTGATGTTGGGGGAGGAGGATGGTGACTTTTTAGTTGGCTTCTGTAAGATGTCATCTTCTTATATATTTGACATGAGCCACAGGCACAGGAACCTTATAGAGTCTCAGGGGATCTCAGATAAGATAACAATTTTGGATGTTGGATGTTAATGAGTGAAAAATGAGGCATACATATTAATTAATTCTTCATACATGTTTGGGTTCCATTGCATTGAAAAAAATCTGTGAGTGTTTAATGTAGTCTGGATATGCTGAAATGAGGCTGGTCGCCCTCCCTAGGCGACCTCTTCTCATTCCCCCAACCAAAGCAGATCAGATGCCCCCATGTGGGTTTGCTTTTGAGTGGCGGGAGTATGGCAGAGCCTGAGGGCTCGGGGTAGGCTGGCAGTCCACTCCTCTGTGAGTGCCGCAGTATAAATCACCAGTACCTGTCAGTGTCCATTTCCCACACAGCAGCAGCTGCCCTCTGAGTTATAAAGCATGGGAAACGGCCACCACATGTGTTATATGTGAATATATTAGGCTTAGTGCCTTTGCTTTAATGCTCTTAAAAGCCAGGCTGGCTTGAGATGCTGATAGGCATTTTTTTCTGGGGAGAGATTTATAACTTCTCAGTGTGTATGACTTAAATTTATTCTCTGGCAAGTTAACCTCTTAGCAAACTTCCTTATTGTTTTCATTGAAGAGGAAGAGCCTTAATCCTACCTAAATTCCTGAATGAAGCTCTGCTGAAAGTTTCTGCTAGAGTACAGGATATTTGCAGGCTGTAGTATGGTTTCCTAAACCAATGGGAAGCTTGACAAGATATATGGGGAGGTGATTTTTTGGTGGGGAGGCGGGGATATTTTTACTTGTTTTTAGAGAGGGAAGTTGTGATACTGCATCTTCTAAAGGAATTCTAGCAACTCAGTTATCTCAAAAGCATCTTTAATGAGAGGAAATGTTTCTCGCTTCCAGTTTCATACATCTAACAGTCTGGGATTCTTCAAATGCATATAATATGCTCCTGGAATGTTTGCAGCTGCACGCAGTAGGGTCATCTAGCAGGATCACTGTCATTTGGAAATGAGCCCTGATTTAAATTTTGACTTGCAGACAAAACACTTATCTTTACCTGGTGCGGCATGTTTAAAAGCAGTGCTGAAGTTTCTGAACAGAATATTTCTTTCCATGGGAGACTGTGCCCTAAGATTACATTTTAAAGTAAGTGTTCTTACCATTTCTTTGGAGAATTTGCCATCCCAAACTTTGCATGTGAAACTTCTTCTTCATGATTCTACCAGTAAAGATAACTATTTAAAGAGAATGCAGTTGTTTCCGGGTATTTCTTTAAAATTAAAATTCAATGTCCACATCCACACACAAACAAGGAGGATTTCCACCCCCTCATACCTTCTCCTTCAAATAGCTGACTTTGGTGTGAATTATGATAGCTCTAATTACATAAGGGCACTTGCAATTTCCCTAGAGAATGAGTTCTTGCCTGATTACAGATCTTCCTACTTTCCATAGGAAGTTTCTGGCCCACACTACTATCAGAAACTTGCACCAAATTGGGAACACATTGCTCTGTTTTGGTATTTGCTACCCAGCTATACATTTTTGAAGGATTAATCTACCTCAGATGATAATCTCTTAGATGAACTATATACATAAATTTCAAGAAATCTTAGCTTTGCCTGAGGCCAAAGAATAATGTCACAAACCTGCTGAAATTACTTGATTAATTGATTGATTAACTAAGGATAAAAAGTCACTTGGTTCTGGAAAAGTACTGTACTCCCTAAAGAGTTCTAAAGAGGAATAGTAAATACTATGCACATTTACAATTCATAAAATGTAAACGTCAAGTCTTCTTCCCCCTCTTTTTCCATTCCTTCCTTATAATGCTCTGGAGGAAAATTTAAGAGTTTCATGAGTTGTCACAACAGTTATATCTTAAGGAATCATAGCTTGGAATCTCACTAACTCATGATTAATAGACACTCAATTAAATAGCAACACAATGTCCGGTGAATTTTTCGGCAGCCTGCTGTGGGCTGCTTGCTTGTTTTCAGCTCGTTTCTAAGGAATCAAAACTCTCATCTCTAAGAGGTGTGGCATCAATACTGCCTCCCTTGACGCAGCCCAAGAAAGCCTTTCTCACTCTGAAACCAAGGCTGTGACCCACAGGCACTGTGTTTAATATGCTGTGTTCCACTTTGCAAGGTCAGGGGGATTTGCCTTAAAAATAAATTTTTAAATGTTCATGCATGCTGCTTTTGGTGGAGAGTTAAACTGTACTCTAAAAGCAGCTAAATAGTGTTGTTATCTTAAGACATTCTAACTTGTGGCCTCTCAGCCAATATTATTGAAGTTCTAGAGCTCACAATCTTTAAGAGAGACAGGAGTGAGCTCTATAAGATAATAGGTTATGCCAACCTAGTTAAGCTACTTTTTTCCCCAAAATGGTGTTACCAGGTTGGAATAATAGAACGTTAACCTTTTTCAAAGTTACTACTTTTCAGAGGAAAAAACATTTCTTAATAATATCATAATATCAGTAGCATGGGACTGACCCAATGTATTTAAGATATTGTTCTTCAAAACAAGATATCAAGGAAAGCCAGTGTTAAACTTGTCAAGAAGAAAGGATGAACAATCCAGATTATTTTCCCTGCAGGCCAATAAAAAATGTGCAAGATAGAATTACATGTTGCATATGCCAAATAGGTAATAGCAAAAAATAAAATGTAAAGTATTATGCACCTTTATCATTGCAGGACTCAGGTAAATGAAACACAATTTAGTAACACACTTTTTCTTTCTCTCACTCTAGAATGTTAATTCCTTATCTTATATTTCTCTGGTTTAACTCCAAACTAAGATGGAGAAATACAGGTTGGCTGACTGATGATCAAAATTATTATAGTGCTCCAAAGTTATTTGACAAATTTTAGCCTGAGGTTTAACAACTAAATCCCTTTAATTCAACTATTAAGTGAAAGTGTTTTCTTTGGTAGTTTAGAAATACCTGAGCTTTGTCCCAATGGTGTGGTTTAGAAATACATAATAATGCATAAGATTGAATATGCCTTCTTTTTCAATATTGATGGGAATTTGCCAATGGTAATACCAGTGCATATTGCTCTTTTATTAATAGTTCCAAACAACCATATTATTCACAGCTTTCATTTCTTGGGGGGAAAAGTTCAAGTAGGAAACACACAAATCATTCCATATTTATTGATCATATTTTTAAGGCTATTCTTATGGCATGACTTCTGTAGGAATGTTTCTCTTTTCTAGTAAATTCCACGAGCCCAGTGTCTATGATCTACTTCTACTTCGTGATATACTTTAGCTTAATTTCACTAATCCAAATTTTTTGACTTTTAGCTTGCTCAGTCATTTCACCATGGCCCTCCAGGGAGGAAGACCCTTTAAAACCATTTGTGGTTATGATGATGAAACTTAACAGGAGTATTTATTGCAATTTGGAGATTTCTTCCTGGTTCATCCTTTAAATATTGGTTCTTGCCTGAAGGCTACTCCTAAGAGTATCTAGGACAAACATGTTCCACTGAATTAACTGAATCTTTAGGATGTTATCTGATGAAAATACCAACTGGTTAGTGAATTGTGTTCTGATAAGAGGACTTGTCAATACAACATTATTCTGGGCCATCTACAATGTTCTTAAATCTGTGTTTACATTTTGACAAGAGAAAAAAGAAGTTAAGCAGTTAATATAAATGTTTTTAACTCAAATCACATTTTTAGATTTTACTTATTTTTCTATAGTCTTTTAGAAATATTTCTCCACTCACTTAGCTGCCTCTTTAAAAGTATGTAGAACATAATTTAACCTGTTCTTAATAGATACAATACATCACTATGACTTCATTATAGTATTATGTGATTTTATAGGGATAATTTTTGAAGGCATTGCATCATACAGAACTGTTTATTTTTCCCATCAATTGACCATGGACTGTTACTATTGTTGAGTTTTATCTCTGGCTATAAAATATATTTTGTCTACATCTTGTGTTCAGCTGAAACTTCTCCCTGTATAAAACTTCCTCAAAGCAGTTCTCTCTTTTAGTTTTGATGTTAAGACATAGGGGACTAAGTTTTGTTGGGGTTGTGTTTAAAGTAGGAGAGGAGATTAGAAAACAGCACCTGAATCCCTTATTAGAGGAATATCTAATTAGTTTTAACTAATGATTCTGTAGCATCTGATATTAATTTGGATGTCACTTGTACTTTGTACAACGTATTTTTCCTTATTAAATGAGAATGTGGACTAGATCAACTCTAGTTATTAGTTTCAACACTATATAATTTATTTAAATTATGAACTGTACTATACATATAGTGTTTGGTATAATTAATAATACAATTCATGATCATGATAACAATAATAATAATGTAATAATAACAAATACCCATGTACCCACTAGCAGTTTTCTGATTTTTGTATTAACCCCTTGCCTTTTGTACAGTTTTTCCACATATGTATACATCTTTAACATGTTACTTTACTTGGCTGTTCTTAACAGTAATAAAATAAATATAATGTGTATATTCTCTGACTTGCAATTTTGCTGAACGTTAAGTATCTGAGTTTCATCTATGTGGATTCATATTGCTGTATTTCAGTCACTTTCTCTGGTGTATAATACTTCATGATATTAATTAACCATAGTTTATCTAATCTATTGTTGATGGATTTTGAAATTCAGTTTTTTGCTATTGCTAGTAAAGTTGGCATAAACATTCTGGTGCATGTCCACCAGCACAAATTTGCCACCATGTTTAGGGTGCATACCTAGGAGTGGAATTGCTGAGTCATAGAAGGGTATCTTTTCATCCGGGAGGCAAAGACATGTTGCAGTTACTGAAACCCCCACCAGGGGCAGATGAAAGGCCTCTTTGCTTCATGCCTCTGCCAACACTTGGTATTTTCATATGCTTAATTTGCCCGCATCTGGTAACTTCTCATTGTGGGTTTAATTCGCATTTTCCTGATTGCTTATAAGTCTGAACATTTTTTCCATTAATTTGTTAGCTATTTGTGATGTCAGCAAGACAATTCTATGATTCTGTTTCTTCAACTGAGCAACATTTGCTTTTAGACCTTAATATTATTGGTAGTTATTCTGTTTCTTCTACTAAGCAACCCTTTGCTTTTAGGCATAGATGTTATCAGTAGTCTAATGTTCAGGAAGTTGTCGCCTAATACTTTACCATGTTGACTCTGGCCTAGGCTTTATTTAAGCACCTTCCCAAAATGTACACTGATTTTGAGTTGGAAAAGACATTCTTAGTCACTGTAACATTGTTGATTACCCTGAGCAAGTCCTGCCATGTTAGTATCCTGCCTTATCCTGTTTATTGTGTCTTTATAGAGAATCATTTACAGGGAAGCAGGATGCTGGGATGCCAGGCTTAATTTGAGGCTCCTTATGAATCCCCTGAATATAATGGAACTAAAGGATAACAGAAACACAGAGTAGTAATGGTAGACACCAAATCTGAGTTAAAAATCTTAATATGATCATTTGAATTTGGGTATATTTCCAACATGGTAAAATACATAGGCCCAATATCATTGTTACATTTATGGCATATATAACTGTGGGTTTCAAACAAACGTATGTGCTTTGTGCACCATCCCCCCCAATTTTTGTTTGGGTTTATAATTTTTTCACCTGCTCCCATGGGACAGGCTAATGAAGACCCCTGAATGAAATAAAGCCTCAGATGTACTTGCAGAGGCCTCTGTAGTGTGTTGCCTTCTGTGCAGACTCATTAGAGATGTGAGCCAAGGCTGAGACATCTAAGCAAACCCTCTGCACCCAGAGTCCTCAATCCATTGTTCCTGCATCTTTTTTCAGTCTCATGGGATCCCAGAAGAATACAAATTAGAGAGAAGAATCTGCAAAGCTTTTCCTTTCATGTTTAATGTCTGGGCAGAGCTGTTCCCTGCAGGACAATTTCTGGTTATTTTCTCTCTCTGGTTTGAGGCATCTCCAGGGATGGTTTGGTGACTGTTTCCCTTGGGGAAGTTTTCAGCAGCATATCAGTTTTACTGTTAAAAGTTTATTTTACAATTCATCTGAGATAGTCCTGTTCTAAATGTTCTTTCCATTACCCTTGTCATCTGGCTCTTGATTCCTGCATACCCTTTTCAGTGACACTGCCTCTTCTGGGCTGAAATGTGTTCAATAATTCGAGCTATAAATCACTCTCGCCTCCCCATTTGGTCTTTACTTAACCAGATTATAAATATTTAATTCATTTGATTTTTCCTCATACCACTCCAGAAGCTTAATCATGTTTAGTCTTCTTACTTTAACTCCCTCTAGTTTGTTTATATCTTTCTTGTAATCAAGGGGCCTAACTCTGATGTGCTCTTCTAAGTAAGCTCTCCAGAGTCATATTATAAAATACAAATTCAGCATCATCTTTAGCTTATTGTACAGCCATAGACAAACATATGGTCTCTCAAAACTTGTGTTATCAGTTTTCAGGAAGGACTATCAATGCCTAATAAAATCATTGAGATATTATAAGGACCAAATAAGACCAAGTATTTCATTGAAGATAGTACAATAGTTACTGAGCCTTTACCAACGATTACAAATAGATGAATAAAAGATTTAGATGAGTTTCTGCCCTGCAGGGGCTTTTCCTCCAGTGAAGGTGACAGGCACACACAGAGGTAGGTAGGATACAAGGTAGAACAAAGTACTCACCGAAAAGGGACACAAACAGTTCTGTTCTTCATGTGGTTTTTGTCATTGGTTCTGTTTATGTGATGGATTACATTTATTGATTTGCGTATGTTGAACCAGCCTTTGCAGGGACATGGATGAAGTTGGAAACCATCATTCTCAGCAAACTAACACAGGAACAGAAAACCAAACACCACATGTTCTCACTCATAAGTGGGAGGTGAACAATGAGAACATATGGACACAGGAAGGGGAACATCATCATACACCGGGGCCTACTGGGGAGTTGGGGGCTAGGGGAGGGATAGCAATAGGAGAAATAAGACAGGCTGATGGATGCAGCAAACCACTATGGCATGTGTATACCTGTGTAACAAATCTGCACTTTCTGCACATGTATTCCAGAACTTAAATATAATTTAAAAAACTCATAATATATTAATATTTATTAGCTAATGGACTGACAGAGCCAATTCATTCATCCTTGTATCCCTAAATTGATTGGACCAAAAAGAGGCAAGGGAGTTTAAAGAGTTGTCAATCATGTTTAAACCAAAGTATTGGTGTGGTAAGAATGAGGATATTATGGTTTTGCCTACAGATCTGGTGGCCTGTTGCTGTAAAAACATCTCCAGACTTTCGTGACCCTTTCTTCCCATATTTCTTGAATGTGTTCCAGGTATTGTGTTAAGGTGGCAATTTAGCTTACAGCCCAGTGAGATAAATATGCTAATCAAATACATATGTTAACAAACCCACAATTCCAAATGAGATAAGGCTTTAAAGAAAGAAAATACTGTAGGAAAGGGTCTCAGACAGCAGATCAGAGACAGCTTCCATGAGAAAGTGTGACTGAGTTTACATCTGAAGAATGAGTTAAGAAGGGGATATTTAGGAGGGGCAGACGAGAGAATATCAGGTAAAAAAAAGTGAGCTCAAAGGCCCCATGGTGGGAGGAAAAATCATGAATTCCAAGATCAGTGTACCCAGGACCACTAGAACTAAACATAATAATGGCTTAGCTAAGGCTGGAGAAGACTTTGGGATTCTCTCTCTCCAGTAGTAGCTACTTGTACTTGGTAGATATTGACTGAATAAATTCAAATGAGTTCTTATCAAGGATCTTTCCTAATCTCAGTACAATGATTCAAAAATTTCTGCAAACTACATAGGCCACCTTTTCCTTGATTTTTTTATTAGATGTGAATTTATGAACCTATCTATCCTATATGTTTAGAGATACATTATGAGGTGTTACGGACATATGTATGCAACCGAGAGAGGGACTTTGAAAAGTGTACAGAGCTAGAAAAATCCAAGTAATTATCAATTAACTTGGTAATAAGTCATTTCTCCTTTGAAAGCTATCACTGAACAGAGGGAAACAAAACTTCACCTTTTCTATAAAAATAGAATTGCCATGGACATTCCTTGTTCTGGGGCCTCCTTCAAAATGTGTGCCTGAACGTGTTTAGTAAACCTAAACCTAAATTTTTTTTGGAGTTTTTATAGATTATTTTCTCAATATGATCCTTTTCTATGCATTTTGTCCCTATTACTATTTCTTAAAAACATAAACGAATGTTCTCTTTGCTTTCAGTTACAGTTCATTTAGAAGTCATTGAGCTTGTAACCTTTCCATGTCACCGGACCTGGAACTACTGTACCACTTGAATCAACCTACCATCTACCACTGGATGTTGCAAAGATTGTTGCTACACAGCCCTGTGGTCTTTGGTCTCGATAAGAGGGGGCATAGCCTAGGGGGAAAAAGCATCCCAGCTATTGGGTTTGATTGAGATCCTTAAACCACTGGACCTCAACTTTCCCACCTATAAAATGGACACAAAATCAACCTCTGCTTCCCAACTCTAAATTGGGGGTAAAAATTACTCCAGTAGTTAGCTATATACAATATCTATTCCAATGCCTGACTTATAATAAGTATTTCATAAATGCTAGCTATTGTTAGTATTATGTTAGTATGGGCTACATTTATCCCGAGGTAGTCTTTACAAATAGAAAATTTCACAGGCACAGGCCAGCCCTTCTAGAACCTGCCTCAATTTTATTGTTGTGATTTTAGAGACTTAAATATAAATTAAGGTAGTCAGACTCCAATGGCAATTTTGAAATCAATCACATCATGGTTTAGTGGACCCTGGTCCCATGCCTTTGCTTGATTTAGAGGCTCATAGGTCCAGCTAAGTTAGATCTGACATAGTGCAATACTGATCAAACTTGGCAGCGTATGACACACTTCCTGTGGATTTTCCATCCAAACCATCCTCCCCTATTAACTCTTCCCTGGTTGACCATGTCCATTTTCTACAGACCCGTCATCTACTCAGCAGGCACACCTAGAAGCTAATACTTGCTTGGTTAATGTGCAGTACTGGGTATAATTGGTCCTGAGGGTCTTCTCTGTGGAGGAGTGGCTCTCATCTTGATTTTGTGTCAATGCCCAGCCCTTCTTCATACCAATTAATTTAGAATCTCGGAGATGTATTCCAGGCACAAGTATTCTAAAGTCTCTGATGGTGATTCCAACATGCAGTCATGTTTGAGAATCAGTGTCCTAGGGTCTTTCTACTCCAAGTGTGCAGTCCAGGAATCAAGGCATTTGCATCACCTGGGAGCTTATAAGAAATGCAGAAACCTCAGGCCACACCCAGACATACTCAATTAGAATCCCAAGTGACTGAGGAATACTGCTCTAGATGACTGAAAGCATCAGATAGGGAGGTGATCCTTGCCTCTATTCTTCACAATTGTAAGTAATCATGTAGTCAATGGGAAACTGCCCCTACCACACTAGTTTTTCTTAGCTTGAAGCATCTGTTGCATGCTTTGGCTTCAGGAGTTGGTCTTATAGTGGCAAGCTATGCCAACATCAAAGAGTCTTCTGGTTTGTGGTTTAGCGGCAAATATATTTCATGGAGACCATGACACGTTTCATTTTCCTTGAGATTACAAGCCCTTGAAAATGCTCTTTGTGTGTTCCATCTGCCTTTTCCCTTCTTTTCTCATCAATACTCATATAAGAACGCATATTTTACAATGGTCTGCTGGTTTTCATTCCATAGTTTCCCCTCCTTCAACTCTCTTTCCTCCTTAAAAATGCTCAGACCCAGGGAAAAAGAAAGACACATAAAAGGGACACAGAGGCCCTGGGCCCTCCTCCTCCCTCCCTCCTCTGTGTCCCAAGTCTGATGCTGAGAGCACACACATGCTCAAAGTGAGACCCTGACGGGGGCTACCCCATACTGAACCTCGCCTTTTGATTGGGGATGGTCTTCAGGGCATGAAACAGACCAAGTGCTCATTTGCCTGAGCCTCTGTGGCAGGGCAGAAGGGGTGTAACAGAGGTTTTTGAAGAAGAGTAAAGCTTTACAGGCAGAAAGCTCAGTGCAGGGTTTTGAAGCTTTTGCTCTGCACTGCCTGGCAGAGAGAGCAGCTTTAACTGGCGTGCTCCAAATCAGAGTCTACACGAAGAGAACATGGGGTCTCAGCTGCGCAGATTGGATCAATCTGAATGAAAATCACTAGTGTTCCTCCTGGGGAGAGAAGTTTCTGCTTAGCTCATGAACTGTAGGCCCTTCTCTGGCCCTGGTAGTAAATGAGTAGAGCTTTTGTGAAAGGTTATGTAAGGCTGCTGTTTTCTCTCCCTGCCTAGAGTAAAATTCTATTTATAGAGGGATGAACTGCCTCTCAGCGAAACATGCATTTTATAAACTATAGCTTAGGAAAGATAATTTAATAAATCTTTAAGAAAGAATTAAGGGAAGAGAGAGAACAAAATCCTAGGCAGAGAGAGTGGGATATACAGCAAGAAATAGGAGAAAGAGAAAGCATCATTGTTCTGGACTTAGTTACTGGAGTAGTAATAGAGTGACCGATCATTCTTGTGTGCCTGGGATTGAGGAGTTTTACAGGAAGAAGGACTTTCAGTGCTAACAATAGGACAGCCCCAGGTAAACTGGAATAGTTTGTCACTCCTAATTTGGTACCTATGATGGGGAGGGGAGTAGAAAGAACCCTGAAAGATTTTCAGCAGGGAAATGGCATTTTAGATAACACACTGTTAGTCCTATGAGGAAACAATTAGAGAATGATAGCAAGGCCTATTATGAGGGGATGTTCTAATCGTCCAGAAAAGATGAATATCTGATTGGAGGTTTAGAAGCAACTTAGATGGAGGCCTTACCCTCTAATCTTGTGGCAAAGTCTAACTTGACATCCAAAACTGAAGGTTTTTTTAACCAACTCCTTGGCCAAAACACTGTCAGAGAACGCATTTTTGAATCAGGTTATCTTTTGGACATGATAGGATAATGTATGTATTGGAGAAGTCATGTCTAGCACTTCTGTGTTCCACTGTGTCTAGTACAGTGCTGAATGCATATTAATTATTCAATAAATACTCATTACCAAATTGGTTTTTATATAATGATTATTCTCAAATTTGCATGAAATCTGAAGTTTCTTTCTGCATGAGCTTCACAAAGTTCAGTTCAGGATATTGTAAATTTCAGGATTACTCAGCTATTACTTGCCTCTTCTTTAGAGGTTTATTCTGTTTTCTTTTTCTCTCTCCCCTTCTTTTGCCTGATTTTTCCTTTACATGCCATTATTAATAATGTTATTGGCAGCATTTCAGAGTGCTTGTGAGAAATTCAAAATTGAGGAAATTCTGCAAATAGCAAAATGTGAATGTATAAAGTCTATAGAATTTGCTATCTCTTTAAGCCCCGTTACGAATGCATATAGGGCATTTGTCAACTCGCATATATGAAAATGGAACAAGATAAAGTAGGTGAATAATTATTTCCTACATAATAATCCCAGGGATAGACTCTGTGTTTGCCTTCAGAGCACCATTCCTGAAGACTTGAGTGAGTCAAAGCATTAAAATGTTATTTTTGTAGAAATCAGTGGAAGTCAAGACAAGATGATGGAGATTAAAAAAAAAAAGCACATAGAATGAAAAGCACAAAACTTCTTGTGTTTCAAAGCACTGATCAGGCAGAAAAGGACCTTGGCAGGTGTTTGAGAAGACCCTTTTCTACTGGTAAGGACTCAGGGGCCCAGAGAAGCTAGGTGAGCCTCTAAATCACAAATCTACGAATGAGTTCCATGAAACATATTATGTACACGTGGGTGCAAATCTTGGCTCTACCAAGATGTAGCTGTGTGACCCTCACTATGATTCAGGGTCCTCATTTGTAAAATTTGGAAAGCCATTGCTGAATGGATGACATTTTTGAAAAACATTACACTCAAGGATTATCACAGTCTTTGGCACATATTGAGCACTAAACTGTTTCTATTTTTATTTGTTCATTCGACAGATGTTTTTAAAGGTAATGTTTCATGTATCATATTTGTTAGCGCCTGTGGTGTATTTAAACAGCATATAAACACACTGCCTCTGTTGTTTTAGTTAACAAAATGGTTGGAGGAATAAGACCTAAGCAGTGCAAGCATGTAAGAAAAAAAAAGGTGACCAGAGTCACAAGGCAATATATTATTGTATTATTAAGAACCAAATGGGTGAGAGGTGCAGTTAGAGGAGAGAAACAGAACATGATCAGAAATTCTTCCAGAATGCAGAGGGATTGAGTCTGGTAGGTAGGGTAATTTGGGGACCTTACCCACATAGGACCTGACCCTATGTGGACACTGTTCTTTACATGTTCAGGCTCTGGAAGACAAAAAAGAAAAAAAATGATGGTGATACTTCACTGCAGAAAGCTTCTTAGTCCAGGCACCAGATCTCATCACTAGCAATGACTTCCCTGGTCACTAGCCTTTTCCCAAGCGAATTTATGATAAGGCTAGGAGAAAAAGGAAGAGAGATGTGGCAAGGTCATCTGAGAAGTAACTTTGGTGGCATACATAATGTAATTTTAAAATAAAGAGGCTTTACCAGTAGGGCTTTTTATAATAGTTTTAAGGAGGTCTCAGAAGCTCAGGGAAGGACAGATGCCATCACACACTGCATTTTGAACTTGGAAATCTAGTGGCTGAGAAAGCATATTTAGGCTCCTGCACTACTGGAATAAGTCTGTGCTGGAAATTAATGTTTTCATCTTTTTTTTTCAGCCTTGCTTCAAAATGTATAGAAAACTTTGGTTCAGGATGCCAAAACCCTTTATTACTAATGCGTAAAGGGTGTTAGCTAGTTCATCAAAGATCTTCTGTACATTTTGCGGCCAAAGGGCAGGTAGCCCAGCTCAAAATTTGCAACTTAAATAGCTTTTCCTTTGTTCTTTGTTCCAGAGTACACAGTCATATGAGGTTATGATAATTAATAATTGATAAATTATTATTAGGATGATATTGTTCCATGCTTATCTGAGACTTTCTGTCTTCCAATGGCTTTTGAATCTTTTATCCATATTCATCTCTCAATACCTCTATCAAGTGGGCAAAATGGCTAAGTTATCTCACATGTGTTATTAGTGAGGTTATGAGAGTAGGGGCCAGCTATTTATTTAAGATCACACAGAAGTTACCTGTTCTGGCTGGAAAACCTAAATCATTTTTTTTTTTTGAGTCAGAGTCTCACTCTGTCGCCTAGGCTGGAGTGCAGTGATGTGATTTTAGCTCACTGCAACCTCCACCTCCTGGGTTCAAGCAATTCTCCTGCCTCAGCCTCCCGAGTAGCTGGGATTACAGGTGCCTACCACCACACCTGGCTAATTTTTTTGTATTTTTAGTAGAGACAGGGTTTCACCATGTTGGCCAGGCTGGTCTTGAACTCCTGATGTCAGGTGAAATGTCCACCTTGGCCTCCCAAAGTGCTGGGATTATAGGCATAAGCCACTGCTTCCAAATCTGGCTTAACCCATGTACTCACCAGTACATATTGGACACTTTCCAAAAGCAGGACATTCTACTCTTTTATTCCCCAAAAATTCATGTACTAAAAAAATGCCACCTAGCACTCAGATCTTGATTTCTAATACCATTCTCCAATAAAAGAAACCAGAGCTCCTCAGGGAAATAGTTGATTCTGGAACTTATGCAGAAAACATACAAGATAAGGCTGGAGCATCTTGGAGTGCCAGAAAGGAAGAAATTCTTTAAAAAAGTGAAAAACCCACAAAGATAGAGTATGTCAAAGGGACACAGAACCTAACTGAAAGCACTCTCAATGGTCAAAACTGCAACAATTTGAGCAAGAAAATCAACCAAGTAGTTTCCTATTATAACCCAAACTATAAAATAAATGTCCATGAGTACATACTGACATAAATAAATAATTGAATAAATAAAGAGAAGAGACTTAGATAAATCCCCTATGCAGAAGAATTCAAAATATTATATATACTCTACTCTCGAAGAGTAGATAGAGTACAACCCATATCCTTTTGAGTGTGGGCTGTGCTTAGCGACTTCCTTCCGAAGACTATGGTATACAAGGGGGAGGGGAGGAAGTTAACTACAGTAGAAAAATTGGCCGGATCATGAGGTCAGGAGATCAAGACCATCCTGGCTAACACGGTGAAACCCCGTCTCTACTAAAAATACAAAAAAAATTAGCTGGGCGTGGTGGCGGGTGCCTGTAGTCCCAGCTACTCGGGAGGCTGAGGCAGGAGAATGGTGTGAACCCACGAGGCGGAGCTTGCAGTGAGCTGAGATCGCGCCACTGCACTCCAGCCTGGGCGACAGAGCGAGACTCTGTGTAAAAAAAAAAAAAAAAAAAATCTGACAAACACTACCTCAGCCAGGTGATCAAAGTCATCATCAGCAGTGATAAGTCATGTTGATAGCATGTACCCCCTGATATGATGTGATAAGGATGGCATTTCACCTCTGTGATCTTCCTTTTCCAAATCCATAACCCCAGTCTTACAATGAGAAAAAGAGTAGACAAACCCCATTTGAGATTCTACAAACACCTGACCATATTCCTTAAAATGATCTAAGTCTTCAAAAATAAAGAAAGTGTGTGAAACAGCACTTTTAACAAGCTCTCTAGGTGATTCTTATACACACTTCACTTGAAAACCACTTGGCTGTGCATTGTCCGTAAAACTTAATAATGGTGGCTCTCTGCTTATTGAGATGGTCTTTGAGCTCAGGGGATGATCTGGAGTCAGGTGAACTTGGGTTTAGATCCCAGGCCTACAACTTTCTAATTGAGAGAACAAAGACAAGATATTCCGCCTTTTTTGTGCCTTTGTTTCTTCATCTGTAAAGCAGGAAAACAACACTTAATTCAGAGAGTACTTATAAAATCATTTCAGAAAAGCCATGTAAATTATTTACCATATTACCATATTTCCACATTACCACTGCTCAACAGGCAGTGAGCACTAGCACGACTCTACTGGTGTTCTATTAGCTTGGTTATATAAATCAATATGAACATAACCAAAATTACTCCTCATTGTTACTGATACTCTCCACCCTCTAAAACTTGTCTTTGGCATCCTGCAATGCTTTCCTTACATGTTTCTAGGAGTCCTAAGAGCTATGTCATAAACCAGTTATCTTCTGCTAGGCATCTTCACATGTCTGGAAGTCTGGTATGCTTGCTGGCTTTCATGTCCCCAGGCAGCCACCGTCTCTTGCCAGCCATCCTGCTCCTCTGGTAGATTGCTGCTGCAGCATCAATGCTTTAGAACGTTTCCAGTGCCTGAGCATTATTACTATGTCCACTGACAAGACTGTCCCAATGTTGATTCTCCCTCTGTTAAACTCTATCATACTGCTTGTGTCTTCCAATTTATAAAATCCTCCATGACAACAATTCATTTAACTAGGGTCTGTAATTTTTCTCTACATATGACTTAGATTCAGTAAGAGAAGGGCTGATCTGGGGACAGATGTTGCATTTCCTATTCCCTGTCTTTAGCCTTTCTGTCTCCAACCCACCAATGGAACTTCTTCCTTAAGTAGTATTTAAATCTCCCCTACATAAATGAGTTACTGCAGAGAGATGTCTGTATTTTTAGACCATACACCATAGGCTGTTTCATTGGGTTTGAGGTACACATGTGGTACAAAAATGTAGACTAATAATAATGGTTAATATTTATGAAATTGTATGGTTTGAAGTGATGTGGTACATATTGCTTAAGAAATACTTATTGCCCACCCATTTTTATATTTAATACAGAAGAATATCCCATTTTAAGTAGCAATGTGCTAGCTCAAAGACTCGATTTCTCAGGCTCCCTTGCAGCTAGGGGTAGTTATGTGAAAGTTCTGGTGATTGGCATGGTAATCAGGACACTTCTGGGGATTTCAGAGTAAGCTTACTCTCCTGTCCTAATTACCACCCCCTTCCTCCTTGTTGCTTCCTTCTTTCTCTGGAAAGTAGGAGTGAGGCCTGAAATTGAAGTAGCCATCCTGTGTTACATCATCTATTATGAACAATGAGAAGGAAATGAGGAGAAGCTTGAGTCCATGGTGACTTCCTTGGGGTAGCTATATAATCTTGGGATTGTTTCTTTCTAGACTTCTTTTTATGCTACAAAGTAAACCTCTGTTTGATTTTAAAACACTGTAATGGGGTTTCTGTCACAGGCAATACTCAGTTCAAACTGCTGTATGTTCCCATATTATTTTTTTCCTCACAGTTAAACAGTGAGAGAGGAATTAATATTATGTCCTTTTACAAGTAGGAAAAGTGAGACACCAAAAAGTTGGCCAATTTTTCCATGCCTCCATGCTAGTAAATTGCAGACTTATGATTTAAATCCTGCTCCATAACATGTCCTTAATTAAGTCTATGCTATAATTCCTAGATAAATAGATGTTGTAGCTATTACACTATTGTTGTTATTTTTATTGTTGTGGGTAATTATTACACTATTGCTTTTTATTTTTTTGCAAATCACATTAATTCTTGCAATGTTGTTTTATTTTTATTATTGTTATTCTCCTCTCTAAAAGAGGGATCTTCTTCTGTGAACCGTTTATTATTTAGACACTTCTAGATTATTGAGTATATAAATAAAAATTCAATTTTCTGTTAATCATTTTCAAATGTCACAGTTTTCACTAACAAGTTATAAGACAGCTTCATGCACTTTAATTTCCTCTGAAGAAGAAATCCACTGCCACCTTATAAAAGACTAACATTCCAAATACAGCTTTAGAATGCTAATGCCTTACCTTAACAAGCCAACTTAACTCTGTGATTCACATATGTGCTGCAATTTCTCTCCCATTGTAGTGTAAGGGAATTTTGCACAGTTTTGATGTATTGTGTAAATTAGGCCAACAAAGTGCTGTGCTATGTCTTCATTAAAATAGGAGACGGTAATAATGCAACCATGTAGCGTGGTCTTGCAGGCTTTGAGTTATGAACATTCAATAGTGTCTCCTTACTTGTGCTTAAGTTGGCATTTGTGAGCAGCATATAATCAATTAATCAATAACCCAATTTTCTCTTAAAGAGATGGTGCATGATTTAAAAAAATCAGAAACTACTGTATGATTTTATGAAAAGAGCCATTTCAGCAAAGAAACTTGTTTTGAAAACACTGAAAGTCTTTTTTGGGGAGGACAATTTTGCTTAACTAAGCCAAAAATGAAATTGGATACAAATGTTTAGTTCCTGAATTCTTTTATTGTTTTGCAACTACAGAAAGGAAAGGGCCAGTTTGGGATTGCTAGTAAGAATGCATTGTTTTTACTCATGATTGGAGGTGTGTAAGTGGACCCATCTATGAATGCACAGTTAAAGTCAATTAATCCTCAAACTTACAGTTTAAAACTCATCTATTCTATTACTTACAAGCTTTAGAGTATACTAAGTTGCCTAATTTGTCTCACATGAGGTCACAGCAGCGCAAAGTGATGCTTTCACGGTGATGAAGCTGACAGTCATGTTGAGACAAAAACCTGGCCTTCTCAAACTTTAATATACATTTCTATCCTTATCTTTATTATAATTTCTACCTAAAAAGATATATATGCTTATTATAAATATTCAAATATTACATAAATGTGTGAGTTTGAGAAGGAAATTGTTCCATAATCCCATCACTTCAGAATAAACCACAATTTATTTGTTTTGTTCAGTCTTTTTTGTCTCTTTCTCTACCTGCCCCACATTTACTGTGAAATTTGTGGAAAGTTAATGTTTATTTTTGCATTGCATTAAGATACTGAGTTGTGTTTTCTTTCTACCAAATAAGTAAAAAGAAATATCGTGGAAAAAGAAAACCTCAAATATTTGCTTTGTTATTTAGACAACAAAAGACATGATTGAGATGAGAATTGTCTCTATAAGACAGATCACCTTCCAAGAGAGACACGTGCTAGGCATGCCTGTCTTCTAAAAGTGTCAGTTCCAACGCCTCCAAAATGTTCAACTGCCCTCTTGAACCTTGCCTCTAAAGTGCAGCCTGTGGGCCAGCCAACCTCCATATCACATGAGAGCATATTAGAAATGCAGAAACTCAGGCTTCATCCAAAATTTACTGAATTCGAATCTACATTTTAACAAGATCCCCAGGTGATGGCTATGCAAGTCAAAGTTTGAGACATATCATTCTAGTAATAGCATGTTTCCTACTCAAATTGCTACCATATTCTAAGAGCTGTGAGTTACTCATGAATTAGCAATGGTGTGCAGGGAAGGAACCAGTATCACCACAGCTCGTTCATGTGGCTTCTAAATTTCCTCCAAAGGGTTGAGTGTTGTGCTCATTAAACAGTGTCAAGACCAGAATAACTGTCCAAGGGCTGGCTCACATCTATTCTCTTCATTTAGGTCATGACACACATTCTCATCCATACCTCTGAAGTCCCAAGGCACTAAAGACCACATTGATTGGAATAATTGTGTCTTCTATTCCAGTAATTGGTTGCTAATTATGCATGGCTTGATGTTATTTTGCTAACTCATATACACCAAATGAACCATGAGTTGCTTGAAGGAAAAGGCCAGTCCCTGAGCTCTTTTCTTCAAGGATGGCAGTCCTGTTTCCAGACATCTGGCCATTCCCATGAATGAGTGAATGATGGTTATTAGGTATGTTAGCTCCATTTATCCAACCATTTGTGCTTTCCACAGATCCAGATTTGACGGTTATGTCCCCCACTTGGAGCTGGGAAGTCACAGGACTTACTTGATAAACAGTCAACTTCTTTCTTGAATTTATGCCAAGACCTCATATATCTATCTCTTTATGCTCTACGACCACCAGCATTGGTTGGTGGCCCAGTTAGAAACAAAAAGATCGGGGATAAGTGTAGGACCTGTCCAATTTGCATCAAGTAATCTTTCATAAGTTTGTAAGGGGAAGATAAGGGAGGGTTATAAAATTTGAATGCTATAATAGATTTTATCTTGTAGCCTATAGTTTTTATTTTTTTTCTCTTAGCTTCTAAAATCTATGATTGAGTTTCTGTTTTGGGTTATTAACTCCTGAAACCAAGAATATCAGAGGAACCTTAAAAAAATAGAACTTTGGAATATTAAATATTGAAGAAGAAAAGCTGAATAATCTCCCTATAGGCAGGTTGGGAGTGGGAGCAGAATCAAACAAAACTTCTCTTTGTTCTTTTAGCCCCCCCCACTCCCCTCCTCCCTCCATAAACCAAAAGAGCATTTATTTACTTGGGCTGCATTATAAACATCTATCTTTCTTTCGTTCATTCATTCGTTCATTTCCTTCCTTCCTTCCTTCTTTCCTTTCTTTCTTTATGACAGAGTCTTGCTCTGTCACCTGGGCTGGAGTGCAGTGGCGGGATCTCGGCTTACTGCAACCTCTGCCTTCCGGGTTCAAGCGATTACCCTGCCTCAGCCTCAGGAGTAGCTAGGATTACAGGCATGTGCCAACACGTAGTAGAGATGGGGTTTTGCCATGTTGGCCAGGCTAGTATTGAACTCCTGACCTCAAGTGATCCGCCACCTCAGCCTCCCAAAGTGCTGGGATTACAGACCTGAGCCACTGCATCCAGCCTATAAACACCTTTCTAGGGATAAACTTTGTTGGTTTACCATCACATAGGAGACTCAGCTCATCAAGAAGTCTGTATTCAGACCAGGTTCAGCTCAGACTAATTAATGAAATCATGTAATTGATGGGTTCTGTTTCTATTTCTAGAGCTCTTATATTTTGATATGAGAATATGGAAGTGCCAATCAGGTTCATGAGGTCACCCTTCAGAATCCCTCATTTCTCCTTTCTCTCCTATCATGTAGCTGATGAAAAATATAGCACACTTCCTTCCCCTGAAAGATTCACATTAGTTGTGTCTTGGACACAACACCTCTCTTGCTCTTTGCTTCTGGCCATATCTTCTTTGACTCAGAAGGCTTTATCACTGGGGATATATGTCAGGCAAAGATGCAGTTCTCAGAAAGTTTGAGAGCAGGGGATGTTATAGCCCATAAGAAAGGGCACAAGGCCAAAAAAGAGAACTAGGCTCTACTGGTCAATTAAAAAATATATATTTAAGCCATTTTCAGTGTTCAGCCAACAGGAAGCATTATGGATGTTCAAATTGCTGAAATATTAGCATACTTCCTCACTGATTGGTAAATATTTGCTATCCAGGGCCTCCCAATGTGCCCTGCTTCCTCCATTCTGATTGGTGAGTGACTATGCCAATCAGCTCCTAAAAGTCCTCCTTCTAAGATATCAACATTGGCTTTTTTCTTAGTGACTTTGGAGGGCCAGATGTACTCTCACCCAGTCCTGGGAAACTCTGATTGCCCTTTAGCCCTTCAGTCTGCCATCTACACTGTGCAACATGGCACCCCATGGCCCATGTGCCTTCTGTGCTTCTCTGGCCCCCTGAGACTGACACCTAAGCAGGTTGGTGTTCCTTGAGTCACCCTCTCATGGCCATCAGTGAAAACCGCAGCTCCAAAAGAAGACAAGGTCAGGAATCTCCACCACACTGATGCTTAAATATGTTTAATATTTAAATACCACACATTTTTTTTACTCTGTTCTGTGGAGACAACACTAAATGTCTTTATGGCCTGAGAAATGTTCATAGAATAAATTGCATATTATGTAGTGATTGGTTCTATGATTGCTATAAAGATTTTTAAAACTTTTAGTATCTTATTTACCAAAGAAAATATGTTCAATGAGGAAAGCATTTAAACAGGTATATAAGAAAATATAAATCACTCATCGTTACATGACTCAGAGTTAATTACTGTTAAAATTTTGATAAACATTGCATGTGTTTATTCTTAATAGTAAATAAATTATATTGCATATGCTGGCATAACTTAAAAAAAGCTTAGCCATCTATTATGAATGCAATTAAAAGACCAAAGTTTTCTAAGAGTTGGGAGGGAACTTGGAAATCTGCTAGATTCATTTTCTGGTGAGGAAAACATTTATTACATAGCATTCCTCCGAAGATCCTCTAGCTTCCTCCTTAATACCACCAAGGGCAGGTTCCACAGCCTTATTATGCCTCTGCCTTAAATTATTTTTGGATTAGTTATTCTAGAACTTTCTGTTCTACTCTTCTCACCTGTTGCTTACTCATTGATCCTGGTTTTGCCCTTCTTAGTATGAGTGGAAGTGGGCCAGGAAGGGCAGGCTTAGAGGCAGTGAGGAGGTGGCATGGTGAAGTCAGTGGCCATTGTCTTTCATGAGCAAAACAGTCCTTGGTCATGAGACTGAATGAGTTTCTTGGGTGATCCTTTTCACCTCCTACTCCCACTATATTTTTTCTTCAGAGACTTACATTGGGGGACTTATGCCTTTTTTGTCATAGCAGAAAACTCTAAATATGTAGAAAGTTTAAAAGAAATAAATCTCATTGGCTGAACACAGTACATTTTAGGAGACAAAAAAAAATAGAAGGATGTGTTTGAAAATAAATTGAGTTGGAAAATATCTAGAGGTTTCTTCACTATCATATGGTATGTTTAAACTTGTCTCCTTGTCATCTTCCTTGCTCTCTGATCTTAAGAAGATTAATGAGATGATGATGTTTAATGCTTGAATGTTTGGAAGAAGAGTGCTTTGCAAATGTCAAGGGTTAGTGTTATCCTTCGCAGTAGTGATTGACCATAAGACTGTTCTCGTTATTGTATTTCATTAACTAATGCTCTCATTTATCAAGTATTGAGGCAAGGGAGATATAGTAGTGGGCAACAGACAAGATCCTTGAAAACTGTTTAATGAAAAAGATAAACAAGTAACACATGATTACTTATTAAAGGAATTAAAATTTATTTAAAATTGTGTTAATATCTCTGGAAAAAAGAATTCCCTTTTTCTCTATCTTAACATATAGAACAATGGGAATCTTGGGAGTACTAATGCCAATTGCTTGGGTGGGGTTTATGGTCTGAGGTACGAGGGGAGAGTATGGCAGTGAAGGAAAGATTACTGAGCAAAGCTGAGAGGGGAGGAGGGATGCAGCAAAGGGATGCTAAACTGGGTTGCAACTAAGTCCTCCTTCTCCACTGTAGTCAGATATTACTTACGCTGGGAGGACGTGCTAATTTTTCAACACTTACAGTATTGCTACAGATCAGAGATTAGCAGAATTATTCTGTAAAGGGTCAGATAGTTAATATTTTAGGTTTTGATTGTCACACAATCTCTGAGGCAACTGCTCAACTTTGCCATAGTAGCACAAAACAGCCATAGCCAATACATAAATAAATGAGTATGGCTTTGTTCCAATAAAGCATTATTTATAAAAATAGTCTGGACTTAACCTGCAGTCCATAGTTTGCTGACCCCTGTACCAGGCTCTTACCGCTTGATCACACACCTGTGTTTAAACTTAAGGCATCACGTTATGGAATTGTTCTTAGAATATAGCTTCTTACAACTCTATATATTACTTGAATTTTATGCATTTTACAACCTTTGTAATGCCTATCATTTTTACGTATATGAAGGAGAAGAGAGAGATTTTAGCATGTGCTTAATCTGTTTATGCTGACTCCTGACTTTCCTCCTATAAACATCTATGTTTAAAATATTAGTACTAATGTGTCCGGAATTGGTGGGTTCTTGGTCTCACTGACTTCAAGAATGAAGCCACGGACCCTCGCGGTGAGTGTTACAGCTCTTAAAAGCAGCGTGGACCCAAACAGTGAGCAGTAGCAAGATTTATTGCAAAGAGCGAAAGAACAAAGCTTCCACAGTGTGCAAGGGGACCCGAGCGGGTTGCCAATGCTGGCTCGGGCAGCCTGTTTTTATTCTCTTATCTGGCCCCACCCACATCCTGCTGATTGGTAGAGCCGAGTGGCCTGTTTTGTCAGGGCGCTGATTGGTGCGTTTACAATCCCTGAGCTAGATACAAAGGTTCTCCACATCCCCATCAGATTAGTTAGATACAGAGTTTCCACACACAGGTTCTCCAGGGCACCACCAGAGCAGCTAGATACAGAGTGTCGATTGGTGCGCTCAGAAACCTTGAGCTAAACACAGGGTGCTGATTGGTGTATTTACAATCCCTGAGCCAGACATAAAGGTTCTCCAAGGCCCCACCAGAGCAGCTAGATACAGAGTGTCGATTGGTGCACTCACAAACCTTGAGCTAAACACAGGGTGCTGATTGGTGTATTTACAATCCCTGAGCTAGACATAAAGACTCTCCACCTCCCCACCAGACTCAGGAGCCCAGCTAGCTTCACCCAGTGGATCCCGCACCAGGGCTGCAGGTGGAGCTGCCTGCCAGTCCCGTGCCGTGCGCTCGCACTCCTCAGCCCTTGGGTGGTCGATGGGACTGGGCGCCGTGGAGCAGGGGGTGGTGCTCCTTGGGGAGGCTCGGGCCGCACAGGAGCCCATGGAGTGGGTGGGAGGCTCAGGCATGGCGGGCTACAGGTCCCGAGCCCTGCCCCGCGGGAAGGCAGCTAAGGCACGGTGAGAAATCGAGCGCAGCGCCGGTGGGCTGGCACTGCTGGGGGACCCAGTACACCCTCCACAGCCACTGGCCCGTGTGCTAAGCCCCTCATTGCCCGGGGCCAGCAGGGCTGGCCGACTGCTCTGAGTGCGGGGCCCGCCAAGCCCACGCCCACCCGGAACTCCAGCTGGCCCGCAAGTGCCGCACGCAGCCCCGGTTCCCGCTCGCGCCTCTCCCTCCACACCTCCCTGCAAGCTGAGGGAGTGGGCTCCAGCCTTGCCAGCCCAGAAAGGGGCTCCTACAGTGCAGTGGGGGTTTGAAGGGCTCCTCAAATGCCGCCAAAGTGGGAGCCCAGGCAGGGGAGGTGCCAAGAGCAAGCGAGGGCTCTGAGGACTGCCAGCACGCTGTCACCTCTCACTAATTACATAATAATGGGATCTCCTCTTCAGAAGGACACTGGGAGATTTGATCTAATCTCAACTTCTCTGAATATTTACTTTGAGTCCTTGTTGCTTGTGTCATCCTGTTATGTATTGGCTTTTCTCGGCAGAGCCAATCTTCTTTTCTTGTCTCAATACTGATGATGGTGTTTGTGTTTTGTCTTTGGCTGGTTTAGCTAATCTAGTGCCTAAGTATGGCTGTTTCTCCCAGTTAGCAAAGGTTACCTCTAACAACTTTGATGGGGTGCAGAGAATCTGAAGCAGTCCTTTGAATGAGAATAAGCAGGAAACTCGCACTGAGGGAAGAAGTTGAAATTGGCTGTACATAGGCAAGTCTGCAAGTGTGATGGTGTACTGTGGGAATTATAGGTATTCTTTCTGCAATTGAGGCCCTTCCATGCTGCTCAGAGTCACAGAGGTATTGATCAGAAAGGCTTTGTACCTGCTTCCTTTTTGTTTGGAGGGGTTGTTCCAGTCCAGATAGTGACATCTGTGAACTCACTAATAAGCAAACAGGCCACAGTAGTTGTGTGAACTTTGCAGGTTTTGGACCTTTTCCACTCAGAAAGATCCTGCTGTTTGAGACTGGGTTAAATCTGCTCTTGTCTAGAGGCATAGGAAAGTAATTTATGATCACTTGTGCAGCTGTACACCCTGTGGCTAGAGTTGAATATACATATTTACCTTGAAGGAGTAGTCACGAGGTGCAATCTGTTTCATTTCTGAAAGTATGTTTTGAGTGTCTTGAACTATTTATCCCCATTGTTTCTTTCTTTTTTTCATGAACATGTTCTTAATATCATGGGTCTGTGTTTCTTTCTATTTCTTTTAGAATTGGTAAGTAGTTGTTTTGGGGGCTGGAGGCTATTTGGGATAAATGAATGGGGGACAAGAAGACAAATTAATTTTTAATCTCAAAGCATACCCTCTGTGCTCTGAATGTTGCTCTTTCCACCCTGAGAAAAAATAGCAGGTTTCAGTCCATATCCTTAGCTCCCTATGCGTCATTCTGCAGGAAAAATGATCCTGTCACACTTAAGTGCCTCACACAGCGGGTACTGAGAAAGTACTACATTATCAAGTCAGAGTTGCTGAGACTTACAAGTGGTCCCTGACCAGTGCTGATGGGTGACTTTTTCCCACTGTTTTGGATATAGTGACTGGGTTCTTAAGAATTAGACTACTTGCAAAGTGAAGAAGTTCTTTCTCCATAGCTCCCACCTCTTCATTGTCTGGAAGGCAGTGTGAAAGGGTTGAAAAAAACTCTAGTCTTTGTTCAGGATCCTGGTACCTTCCCAGACCTGTGCACTGTGTTGCCCAGACATTATACCTTGCAAAATGAAGATAAGACTGCTAGTCCTGCTTATGTCCAAGGGAGGGCTGAGCATCAAGTGATATAATGTATGTATAAAGTGCCCAGAAAAGTATGTATCATGATGCAAATCAAAGTTGTTGTTGATCCTCCATGTGGTGAGAAGGATCTGGCTCAGAAAGCACCAGTTCTGAGTGTGTTTCTACCTGTTATAGTATCGGAGAGACTGAGAATGGCAAGTCTTTCTCTTAAGGTTACAAAGGTGTTTCATGTAATTTCTTTGTACGAAAAACCGGGAAGGAAATTCCTTGTCTCTCCAAGAATGAATTTGGTGGTATCGATGAAGAGTCTTCTCAAAAACGAGGACAAAAACCCTAAGAATGTGTGCTAGGTGCTTCTAGATTCTGTTTAAATTTTACTTCTATAATTCTTTGTGGGTTTTTTTTCTTTGTGGGTTTTTTTTTCTTTGCAAATGGGCTATTCCTCCCCACTTTAGATCCTTCAATAGTTAGATTTTTATTTGCAAATTGGTTATTTCTCCCCACCTCAGGTCCTTCAATAGTGGGAATAATTTTTACAAACACCTGACCATCAGTAATCTGGGAATGGCTGAACAGATTCAAAGAGAAGTGTCCATTTCTTACCATTTGTGTTGAGTGTGCATGGGTGTAGGAGCCGATGGAAGAGTGGGTGAATAATCGAAGAAGGCAGCCCCGGGGATCATGCTCATGATGTTACAACGATGTCACCAAACACTTTGCAAATGGAGGACATCACAGGGGCTTGGCCTTGAGACCTTTCTCTCTCTGCCTCTCTGCTTGTTACATTTATTTTTTTCTTTAATTGTCAGTACTGAAAGATATTATATAAACCAAATCTGTATTGAAATATCAGCATGGTGTTTATAACTCAAAGGTGATGTTACTTTACTTGATCCTCATTGATGAGGTTATACAGAATTGGTCTGTCATGACTATATATCTCAGAGAAATTTGAATGCAATTACCAGAGTGAATGTAAAAAGTTTCTGTGATATATACATGGGCAGGATTACTACGTTTGAGTCAACCTGAATATGATTGGGAAAATGAATTCAAAGGATTGTGGCACTAACAGTGTCTGACTTAATTTCCCTCATCTTATCCAAACATACAGAGCTAATTGCAGAAAAGAAAATACTTCCAAAATATGAAAATTCAAAAGTAATGGGTGATATTAAAAACAGTAATTAATTTACACTCCCACTAACAGTGTAAAAGCATTTCATTTTCTCTGCAACCTCACCAGCATCTGTTGTTTCTTGATTTTTTAATAATCACCATTCTGACTGGCATGAGATGGTATCTCATTGTGGAAGACAGTGTGGCGATTCCTCGAAGATCTAGAAGAAGAAATAACATTTGACTCAGCAATCCTATTACTGGGTATGTACCCGAAGGAATATAAATCATTCTATTATAAAGATAAATGCATGTGTATATTCATTGCAGCACTATTTACAATAGCAAAGACATGGAATCAACCCAAATGTCCATCAATAATAGACTGGATAAAGAAAATGTGGTACATATACACCATGGAATAAAAGGAACAAGATCATGTCTTTTTCAGGGACTAGGATGGAGCTGGAAGCCATTATCCTCAGCAAACTAATGCAGGAACAGGAAACCAAACACCACATGTTCTCACTTATAAGTGGGAACTGAATGATGAGAACACATGGACACATTGGGGGGAACAATACACACTCAGGCCTGTCAGGGGTGTGGGGGCAGGGAAAACATCAGGAAGAATAGCTAACGGATGCTGGGCTTAATACCTAGATGATGGGTTGATCTGTGCAGCAAACCACCACGACACACATTTACCTATGTAACAAACATGCACATTCTACACATGTACCCTGCAACTTAAAATAAAAGTTAAAGAAAAAAACATGTAGTAATTAATTCAGAAAGCAATAAGATTGAATAATAATTGAAGAAAAATCACCAACGCTTGAGAGAAATTGTTTAACCATTTTAAAAAATATTTTTTGATGGAGAAGAAAGGAATAAGATGGCAGAGTGTCTCAAGGAAATCATTGTATTTTTTTGAAATTTTTACACCAAATAACTATTTGGAACAACATTACCAGATGGAGATAATGGAACAGACTTCGGTAAATACAGAGAGCATGCTAGAGGTTGGTGGAAAGCGGGAGTTCAGAAATCAATAGAACTTTGTCAAATGTGAACTCCATTACAAAGAGAACTCTTTGTCAGGGGACAGGCTACTTTCTCCCTGGATGTCATCTTGTTAGGGCACTGGAGAGAACATTGGTAATGTTGAAAGGACCATCTTTTGGCTGATTTAAAAAAAAAAATCATACTAGTCTATCACTTCTTGAAACTGGTATTTTTATTTATGTATTTTTATATTTCCAGCAGTTAGAGCAGTGCCTAGGTGCCACAAAATTTGTCTATGTTTGTGTATATGAATGAATGAGTGGATACAATCTGGGAAATACCAAAGTGAAAATAGTGTTTCTGCTTTTAGATCAAAGTTATCCAAAGTACTAAATTGGACAATTTTTATCAAATGCCTAAGCAGTAATTTATATTTTGTGAAATATGTTTAAGTAAGGAAAAACCCTGGATACCTCCTAAAATGTAATACTCTAATTTTTTAGAGAGAACGTTAGTGAACGTTTACTAAGAGGTTTCAGAACGAAAAGTGTTTGTTAGTTGTTAACTCTTTTAATTCCATTTTACCCTTTTTCACCTTCTTAAAGGCTTGAAGTTACTTAGCAGCCCCGGGAAGAAGGCTTTCTAATTAGACCTCCTTCCCCTCCCGCCTGCTTCTTCTCTGGGTGTGCAAAGCAATGTATGGAGTTCGTTTGTCATGGAATCATGAAAAAATAGAATTGGTTTGGAAATGACTCTTCGAATGAATCTATCAATTTTCTGTCTGGTTTATGCTAGTTTCCTCATAGCATTATATTTTGGACCTAATGGAGTTTCAGGACCTAAGGAAGAATGTGTTCTTAAATTTGGCACCCTAGGTTCCTCTCTGGCCTCTGCCTAGTCCTGGCTGTGGGTGTTACCCAGGCAATGCTTTGATAATAAAGAAGACCAGGCTGAAGAAGAAGGAGCTGTTTGCCTGGAAGATCCTTAATTGCATTGTCTTACTCTCTGATCATGTCCTCCTTTTGATCAGCTACTCATTTGGTAGTTTTTGTTCACCACATTGTGAAGAAGGGAATGGAAAAATTACAGAATATCAGAATATGTCAAACAAGTTCTCAGGTTCTGAGCCAGTGAGTATTGGGGTGAACAATGCTTTAGTTATGCCCTCTTCTTTTGCCTCCAACTACAAAGAGCTGGATATCTAGCAAGCCACTAGGGAAGTTTCTGAATGAGCCTTCTTTCTGTACGAGAGTAGTAACCTCTGCATAATACTAGACCCCGTGTAGCTGTAGTGCTGAAGAAACCCTCTGGGGATTGGTTGTGTAGTTGGAAAGTGTCAGTTTGGGGTGAGGGAGTTTATTCTCTCTTGCAAAAACACATGTGCTCTGTTTGAGAGTCCATGCATTGGCTGGTTATGAGGACAGTGCTGTAGGCTAAACTGTTCCACAAGGCACTCCCTGTACACTGGGAGTAGGGCTGGTTGGGTGTCTGTGATGACCTTTAGAGTTGACAGCAACTATTACTTGTGGAAATTAGAGCTATTTTCTAGTGATATGTTATATAGTTGTATATACTACCTATTACATGGCAGTGACCCTGAATATATCTTTATGTGTATATAGGTATGCATGCATCAACACTTTTTGTCATTTAACGTGAGTGTGAAACCATGCATTTGTATGATTTAGTTGTGAATGGATGTGAGCACAGATATGAATGTGCTTACTTCATCTGTTCCCTCACCCACCCTCTTTCTCACCTCCTAGCTTAGATATCAAAGTATTTTGACGGTGCAAAACCCAAGAAGCAATGTGGCAGCTGCACATGCACTGAATTTGATTTGTATACCTCGGGGCAGCTTTGGGATCACTTAGAGGATGAAATAACAAAAACCCGAGATGATAAAAGAAGAGACAACCATTGGAAACAATTTATTGTTCGAATGGAAAATGCAGTGCATTTTGCTAAAAACCTGTCCTTGACACCATTATCTTGTTAGGGATGCAGGAGCCTCTATTCCCACGCTAGGTTTGATTGTGTTGACAACACACCTGTGGCTTATAATCAATGACCCAGCTCTCAGGCAGTGAAGGTTTGTTTTTCAGAGAGAAAGATACAGATTTTTTAAAAAAATGTAAACACATCCAGAAGAATAGTTTAATGGGAGAAGATACGTGAATTTAGTAGAAGCATCAACCCCACCCACAAGGCAGAGTGAGGCAAACTAATGGCCATACAGTTTTTTTTCCAAAAAATGTGCATCTTTCCCCCTACCCTCAAATGTGACCCTTAATCTAATCTACCTTCTAAAGTGACCAACAATGAATCTGAGAGTGTGTGATGCAAGCCTCAAGGTCTCTATGTTCTATGCTGTTCTACTTTTGAGGGGGCTTTCACAAATAAGTAGTGCCCACAAATCAGCAATTTTTCAGCTGCTTATTAAACATAGTAGTGAGGCTGGAAACTATAGATGTGACTATATTCAACATTTCTATTTCTTCAGTGGAATAATTTTGCTGTATATTTAAAATTATGTTGTTCTTCTGTGACATGTATACCAACTATTAGATTTTGCTTCATAACCCCACAAGGCTCTCCCTGTACATTGTGGGGGTGGGTGGGCATTCTCTTTTGACCTTTGGAGTTGATAACAGCCATTACATGTGAAGGTTAGAGCTCTCTCTCTCTCTCTCTTTTTCCTTCACTTTTGAGGAAAGTTAACCAAGTTTGATTTCATCATCTGAATAATGCCCTCAGTCAATGCCCTCCTTCCATCTGGGCTTTTGTAGCCTAAATGATGCTAACACCTTAGTCATTGTTTAGCTTAAACCTTATCCTCTCTCTCCCTGGATAGATCACAGGCTTTTGCAATAAGAAAACAATCACTTGGGATCAATGAAGCATATTTGGTTGCATCATTTTTTTTTTTTTTTTTTTTTTGAGACGGAGTCTCGCTCTGTCATCCAGGCTGGAGTGCATGGCTCAATATTGGCTCACTGCAACCTCTGCCTCCTGAGTTCACACCATTCTCCTTCCTCAGCCTCTGGAGTAGCTGGGACTACAGGCGCCCGCCACCACGCCTGGATTTTTTTTTTGTGTTTTTAGTAAAGACGGGGTTTCACTATGTTAGCCAGGATGGTCTCGATCTCCTGACCTCGTGATCTGCCTGCCTCGGCCTCCCAAAGTGCTGGGATTACAGACATGAGCCACCATGCTGGGCCTATATTTTTTAATCTAGATTATCCTTTACAAACTTGCAGAGTTCACTGAGTAGAACCTAAAGAGAGTGAATACACTTTCTCAAATGGGTTTTTGGTTTTTACTGAGGATATCTATTATTGAGACTTTCTTATTTCCCTTACGATCCAAGCTGAAAGTTGTTGGACACTTTTATCTGAATTTTTTAAGTCAGAGCAGCTCCTCCAGAACAAGTATGTTCAGTTCCAATTTTAGCCCCTCGGTGCTTAGAAGTATTGGGAAGGAACTAGGTACTGATGATGTTTACTTGAACTGAATATATACAGCTATAAATGCTATATATATATATATATTCATGCATCTAAACAAAGAATTATTGATGAGAGGGGCAAGATACAAGAGAGATCTAAGAACACAGATAGGGCCAACATTAGACTGGCTGGAATAGGTCTTTTGAAACCAAGGAAATGAGATAATTTCCTGTAATGTAAACAAAAAAGAGAAAATGTACAATAACATAATATCAACTTTGAGCTGGCCATAATAAATTGTCTTGATTGAACAGCCTAAGACTCTACTGGACCCATTAGTCTTTAGTCAGAGCCAATCTTTTGTTCTGGTCTAGAAAGATTAATACATGAAATGGCTTGTTACCTAAAATGTTCATTTCACACAGCAGATGAGGAGTTTTGTATGAGAGAAGGGAAGTTGAAAGGTAGAAACAAATGTGTTACACTCCTTTTTTTCTCCTTCTCAATATTGATTTCCCAGCCATTGACCTCTGTCCAATGCCATGTCACTGACCCAGAACATTGACTTGTCTACATGTCATTGCCATCCCTCGATTTAACAATCTGATACATGGCTGAAAGGCTGAAGGAGCGCCATGGGGCTTTTTTGGTCTTCTTGATCCCCCTTTGTGGTACGTGGTTGCCTTTTGACAAAAGAATGTGTTAGGACTCTTATTAAAAATAAACCCAGATTTTTAGTTATATATAGTCTTGAGTTCTATAGAGACAAAAAATGAGAAGTCAGTGACTTTAGGATTGTGAATCTCTTTACTATGAGAGGAGCCAAGATATCAAAGCCAATCAAGATGAGGGCAAAAGTCTGAGTGGACGTGAACTTAAGAAAAGTGAAACTATAACACTCACACACACACACATTTAAGATATATGCAAGGTTAAAAGAATTAACAAACCAAATCTGCTCTATAATATTTTATTAGTAGTATAATGAAATAATGAAATGCTGGTACTGGTTTAGCTCTTTGGAGACACTAATCATATCATATAATTAATCTTTATTATTCATTATGAAATTTCAAATAACTCTTAGAAACAAGATTGTAGGAACAATTCTTGGCATGCTGCTAAGTGTTTAACACAGAAGTATCATGTCTCCGTGGACCAGCTATGGGAGTCTTGAACCTTCATTTGACATTCTTTTCCTGATTTGGGATGTAACTTTGTGAAGTTTGTGCAGGGAAGTCTTGTCTCACAATTTTAAATGGAAGTATAGTGGCCAGAAATATAGTATCACAGCCTTTCCAGGATAATATTATACAAAGCAGTGTGAAGCATCCAGTGGCTTAAACCAGCCAGTATAGTTGTGAGGCAGTAGAAGAGACATCCTGTGGGTTAAGTGTTTCTGGGAATACTGGGAGTACCAGGTCAGATCCTGACCCCAGGCTAGAAAAAGTTTTATGCTATCAGGATAGCTGTTGGGGTGCTAAGTCACAGAGACAAATGGTAAAGACTGGTAGTCTGTAGAATTTTAGAGAGAAGTCAAGGTTTCCTAGCCCTTTAGAAGTAATCAGTGAGAAAACAACACTACATGCTAGCCCGAAAGACCTAGATCCTGGAACCCACTAGGCTTTAATTTATGATTTGGGGAAAGTTCTCTTTCTTGTGCTTCCTTTCCTTTATCTGTAGGACGATGGCTTGAACTAAATCTATTAACTGTCATAGGGTGCTGTTTATAAAATAACTCTGGATTGTAAGCCTTATCCTAGATTTATCTTTTGCTTAAAAAGAACATTGAGGTCCTCAATTGGAGGAACACTCTGTACAATGGCATGTCATACATACTCCAATTAAGAGGTGCAGAAAATAGCACTTTGGTTTCAAATATGAAGACATGAAGTAATCCTGACTCATGAAGAATGTTCAACTACCCAGTAAGTAGGCAAATTCTTCAGAATTTAATTGGAGGAGGAGGGAGGGGTTAGTTAATTTGTCTCTGAAGATTTCTGTTGTGTAGCCAAGAATAGAAAGAATAGACTTGAATTTCTCAAAAATAATAGTATATTTCTATGTGTGTGTGTGTGTGTGTGTGTGTATATGTGTGTACATGCACATGCACAAGTTTTCACTTGCAACCTTCTTGCAATAGAAGAAAGTATGCTCAAAACAAATAAAAATATCTTTAGTTTCTTAACATTCCGGGACAAACTCCCTATCTCATCTTTTACACCATTTATTTGTTTATTTGGGGATTTTCTCTGCAATCATTTAGTGAATATCTACTGGGGCTAAAGTTCCAGGCACTTTACATACGTCATCTCTATTAATTATATATCTTGTCTCCTTCAGCACTTAGCACATGCTTTGAATAGATAGATGCTCAGTTAATATTTATTAGAATACATGAAGTAGTAGCAAAACAACATTCAAAGACGCAAATGTGTAAAAGTTGAGGAAGGGAAGGGGATAAGATGTAATGTGGTTAACACGAAGTCAATGCAAAGCCATCAAAACCGTGCCTGGAGTGCTCAGGTGGTCAGGTCAGACCTTCCAGCAGCGGCTACATCTGATGCCTATCACCCGTTGTTTCTATACAGGTATCATTAATAGAGGATAATCTCTTTCTTCAGGCATAAAACCCTTTTGAGAAAAGCGCTGACTGTTCCTATTGCAATGCTCTTTGAGTGAGCAATTTCACTTAGAAAAATTGTATAAACAAGTGCTTAACTTCAGCTTTTTTTCTTCTCTAATTGATCTAAATGTGAAGTTAAATTAGCTGCTGATGAATAGTTCCTATGCTGTTAAGATTATGATTTTTCCAGAAGAGAGGAACCAGCCTACATTACTATCCTGAGCACTTCTCATTCAAAACTTTAATGGATCACTTAGAAGCATGGCCAGTTGGTCTTTTTCTAATGGTGACAAGTAAAGTGCACATCAGCTTGTTATCAGAGGAGTTTATTTACAAGGATTCTACAGGTTAATATTCCCTTAAGTAATTTTGCTCATGAATCTCCAAGAATGGCCATGTGCTGTCACATTGCTACATTTTTCATTGTTAGTAAGCCCCTGAAAAAGCCAGAACAACCATGGTGATTTCACTGCTAGCATTTAGATATTGTTGTCTTTTGTCTTAAACTATGAGAATCTGACTTACGTATTTATCTTGTCTTAAATAATAGTGAAAACAGAGTCTTTGCCACCCATTGCAACAATTATGCATTTTTTTTTATAGGAACTGCAAAAATCAAACAAAACAACAGAAAAAAAAAACTATTAAGCCACTTTTTTTTTTTTTTTTCTTGAGACAGAGTTTCACCCTGTTGCCCAGGATAAAGGGTAAAGTGCAGTGACACAATCTTGGCTCACCACAGATTCTGCCTCCCGGGTTCAAGCAATTCTCATACCTCAGCCACCTGAGTTGCTGGGATTACATGCATGCACCGCCACTAATTTTTGTATTTTTAGTAGAGGTGGGGTTTTGACATGTTGGCCAGGCTGGTCTCACACTTCTGACCTCAAGTGATCCCCCTGCCTCGGCCTCCCAAAGTGCTAGGATTATAGGTATGAGCCTCTGCGCCTGGCCAAGCCATTTCTTTTTTTTCTTTTTTCCCTTGGTTTTCTAGGATTCCCCAAGACCTGATTTCAAGAATTCTGGAATCTGTATTTTCATGTAGACTATCTGTGAAGCAATAATAATTGTTTTAAAAGGAATAGATTAACTAGGGACTCCAGGTGAATTTAGGAGGATAGATCTAAGCTACTCATGCTTATTTAGGAAAGTGAATGTCTTTACTTATTTTCATAATTATCCCAATGGAAATAATTAACTGAATTTGGTTAGAAACTGAGAACACTACAAAGCAGGCATCTAACTAATAGAGATGATCTCTAAAGAAAAAAAAAAAACTAGAATTTCACATTGAGAAGATTTGGGAAAATGACATAATGTCATAACTTAAGCATCCTTACATTGTAATCCAACGAGCCTTTGTTTAGCACCTTCTCTACATGCAGGAACTACAAGGAACATAAGATAAATATATACAGTGGACTTTACACTTCAGGGAGTATAATCTTGTTTGTGAGGCAAGATACACAGCCATGAAAAACAGAATTATTTAAAATATATATACTTTTTTTGAGAGAGAGAGAGAAAATCTCACACTGTTGCACAAGCTGGAGTGCATTTGTAGAGTCATGGCTCACTGCAACCTCTACTTCCCGGGTTCAAGTGATCCCCTCACCTCAGCCTCCCAGGAAGCTGAGACTACAGGTGCACACCACCATGCCCAGCTAGCTTTTTGTACTTTTTGTAGATATGGGGTTTTGTCATGTAGCCCAGACTGTTCTGGAACTCCTGGGATAAAGCAGTCCTCCCACCTCAGCCTCCCAAGGTGATAGGATTACAGGTGTGAGCCACTGAGCCTGGCTTAAATATATATACTATTTTAATATTATCATGTTACAGTATGATTATTCTCTTAGCAATAGACTCTTTCCCTCTTCAGAGAGAAAAATAATGAATTTTGGTTTCTATAGCGAGTTTTGTGTACGTGCCCTTGTTGTAGGAAAGGTAAAGTATAGGTACAAACCAGTTTATTTGGGGACAGAAAAATGAATGAAATTGCTTAAAGCATCTTGTGCCTCATTATTAAAGCCATCAAATATTGCGTAGCAAACCTCTCTCAGGTGCCACGGGAAATGTGATGTTTCATTTAAATGTTTCTTATTCACAGACTCATTTAGCTTTATTTTCCCTCTGTCTCAATTTTTCCTAGGTTTATTTGAGATGCAGTGCTACAAATGATGACCTTGCTACAAAAGCATAATGTTTTTTTTTTCAAAAACAGATTGGATACATGCCCATTGCTTAGTGAGAAATCAAAGTGTAGTAGAGAGAGTTGAGGCTTTGGCATCTAAAAGATCTGATTTTAAATCCAGGCTCTTCTGCTTATTAGCTTGTGATCTTAGTATGGTTACTTAGCCTTGGGACTTTTGCCCAGTAAAATTATTTCCCTTGTAGAAAACACTTTTGACCACGTATTTAATTTGTTCTGTTGTTCAACACTCTCCTCTCCACTGCCATGCTTGTTATGACTGTTTTCAGCTATAATTAATATTAGCAGTAATGGCCCTTTAATTCACTTTCCTAGCTGCAAAGAGTTTATTTAATATTTGTGCATCACTTAATGGCAGAAAGTCTTTCTAGTAATTTTTGTTATTTTTCTTCCACTGCTTGCAGTGTAGGGAATGAGCACTTAACCAAAAGTTGAGAGTTATTTAGCTTCGGCTTAGTTATCAGGTTCCTGGATAATTTAGGGACAGATTGAACAGTCTGAAGCAGCTTAGAAATCTGGTACTTTGCCTTGAAGTTCCACCAGAAGTTAGGAATCTCTGTCTCTTACCCTTGACTTGAAACCTTCTTGAGGTCCTCACATTTATATAATGTCCCTGTCTTAATCTGTTTGTGCTGCTATAACAGTATACATGAGACTGGGTAATTTATAAGAATAGAAATTGATTTCTCATAGTTCTGGAGGCTGGGAAGTTCAAGAGCAAGGTACTGGTAGGTTTGGTGACTGGTGAGGGCCTATTCTCTTTGATTCCAAGAGGGTACCTTTTGCCACATCCTCTGGAGGGGAGGAATATCGTTTCCACACATGGAAGAAGATGAAAAGGCAAAATGGACCTAAGCTAGTTTCCTCCAGCCCTTTTATAAGTCACTAATCCATTCATGATGGAGGATCCCTCATGACCTAGTCACTTCCCCAAAAGCCTATCTCTTACTGTCACCACAATAAAGATTAAGTTTCAACATATATTTTAGAGGAGCGACATTCAAACTATACCAGTCCCCTAGAATAAAGTTTCTGCTCTGAGATAAATGAGGTATTGTCCAAAACCATCTTGCAAATTAGCAAGATAATATATAATTAAATTTCCTGTTTGGTGATTCTTAGTATACCATCTTACCAGTTGAACCAAGTGTCTCTTTAGATTGAGCTTGTGGTACCCAAGCACCTACGCAATTAGCAGGAAAAAATTGCCAGATGGAACCCCCTCACAAGACAAATCTCTCCATTCCCCACATCTCTAAACTCCATTCCCCACTTTCGAAACATCAATGGTCATTTCAGATGGGCACTTTGATTCAGTAGAAGAACACTGGATTTCGAGATTTAACCATGAGTTTTACATTTGTCTCTGAATATCTTAGGTGATTTTATAAACTTTGTAGACTGTCCTTGGGCCTCAGTTTCCATCATTATAAAATGAGGATGTTGAGTCATGCAAAACAGAAACAACTGGTAAGATCCATTCCAGATCTAAAATTGTATGAATCAATTACGTACATAGCTTCTTGCACCCAATGTATTAAATGGTTCTGTCTGTTCTTTCTCACCTGGCCATATGGGGCTGGCCATTGTAGCATGGGGACTCTGCAGCAGAAGAGAAATGAAAGATTCTTCTTTAGTCTCTTTCAGCTAGGAGCAAATAATCTCTGTGCTTACCTAGACTTAAAGGAGCTGTTCTAAAGCTATATACCTGCCATTAGGGAACATACTCAGATCAATTATTTAAAAAGAAAATTAACAAAGAACAACTTGGCATTGTAACCTTTCTTAGCAGCTTGAATACAAGGTATTAATTAGACAAGGAAAAAGGGGGGCACTAATTATTTCTTAAGTGGAATAATTAGTGTTGCTGAATTTATAAATTAAAGGGCCTCATTAAGAAAAAAAATCAAATCAAGTTTGAACTATAGTGATATCACTGTGAAATTATAAACTGATTTTTGAAGACTGCACTTTGATCCTATAGTAGATGAAAATTTCTGTTTCAGACCATCTGGATTTACTTAAGGGGGAGGTGATGCATGTAGTTGGTGCAGCATTTTAGAAAGAAAGGACAATTTTTTAGCATCTAAGGGTGGAATCTTGTTATGCTGAAAGAAAACCTTATCAAATAATACACTATTTCTAAGAATAGAGTATTTGGCCAGCAGGCTGATACATATTTCATTGGGCACAAGGTATGAATTCAACATCAAAGTAGTTCCAGTTGCAAAACAGGAGCAGGAGCAACATTGAGGAACCTGACCCAGCTAGAGTTGGGCCTTCTATGCCTATGTTATGTACTCAATATAACTATACCCTAGTCCTGCCCTTGACTCGATTACAGGGCTGACTTCACTTCCTGTGTCCCACCACTGAGGGGGCTCCAGACCTGGTTTGAGGTGCCAGTGTCTCAACAAACGGGATCAATATTTGCAGATCCTCAACTCTATAGGTTTTGGCTTCAAGGTCTGCTTTCACTGGGGCGGCTGTTTCTTGTTCCTCTTCTCTTTTCTGCCCTAGCGAGCTCATTCTTAGGAGCTGCTGCTAATTATTGATCCTACTCTCATGGTATAAGACATCTTTAGCATATTCCACCCCAAATGCTAAAACATGACAGAATTATATCTTGGAAATTTATAACAAGAATTTGGAGTTAAAGTTCAGAAATAAAATCATATTTGGAAGTCTTGGAAAAAAGCTGTCTCCTTGGTCCATGCTTTGGAGAAACAAATAATGCTGCCTCTTAGTTCCTTAAGGAGTCACATATCTTTGGATGAGGATCTAAGACTGACTCCCTAATAGCCAAGTCAAAGAAGCTGCATGCTGCACACATGTACATTTTCATCTAACATACATTGAATGGTGTTCTGTGCTAAGTGGACTTTCATATGTCTTAATATTCAGAGATGTAAAAATGAATAGGAAATATCTCTTGCTGTCATAGACCACGCAGTCATTAGAGGAAACAGACAAATAAAATCACAATAATTTACGTGCTATAATAAAATTATTTAGAAAACACCAAGAAACTCAGAACAGAGCAGTGCCTTTCAAACTTCTTTTGACATATAATTGAAACAAAAGTTTTATAAAGCTATATTAACCACAACTACATGCAGTGACTAATACTTTTGTTATATTCTATTCTGTTCCTTTATTTTAAAATAAAATAAATGCCTTAATGAAGAAAATACCATAATCATATTTCCATTTTATAGAGAACATTTTGGTAAAACTTATAGGACAGGTTTTACTGAGATAAGACTGGAGTCAGAGAGACTATTTGTGGACTATTGCAAGTATTTGGGCTAGAAAGTTTTGGAAGTGAACCCAATACTCTGGTGTTGTAATGACGACATATTGGAGAGATATTTTGGAGACAGCCAACAATGACCAATTTGACCTGAGAGATTACAGAAATTAAGAAATTGAGGATGATATCAGGGTTCTGCCTTGGGTCTGTGGGTAGATTGATGGTGACTTTAATGGAGATGGGGAACACAGGAGACAGAGTAAATTGAATGGGAATCAGATAGCTTGATTCCATTGTTACATAACTCGTACCTGTAATACTCAGGTGCCTGTGTAGGAGGCAATCCAGAGGTGCCTATCAGTCACTTTTACTTCTAAGACTGTATTCTTCACTCTTATATTGTATGTCATTCATTATTTCATCAAAATAATATTACCATGTTTTAAAAATTATGCACAAATAAAATTTAGATTATTCCCTAGTATTGTATGATATAGGCATATTAAAATTTATTTAATCATTTCTCTAGTTTTGCACATTCATTTCTAATTCTTCACCATTACACACGATGCTAGGATGAATGTCTTTGTGCTAGATCCTTCTTACACCTGATACATCCCTTAAGACAGATTCTCAAAGACAAAATTCTTGAGTTAAGAGCATGAACGTACTAAAGGCTCAAGATAGATATCAGCAATAGTTTTCCAGAAATGCAGTACCAATGTTTACCTCTTACTCTAAATTTATAGGATTGTCCATCTTACCATATTCCATGCAAGAGAGGCGGTATTACAAGAAACAGACTGGTGAGAAATGTTATCATTTTTAAAATTGCATCTTTTATTATCAGAGGGATTAGTGTTTTATATTAATTATATTTTTATGTGATGGTTAGACAACTGTACTTCTGTGAATTATCTATTACATGATTTTCCAGTCTTCTTCCATTTGTATCTTATTATTTATCTCATTGAATGTTATATGGTATAGCTTATTTTATATTATGTAGCATTTGTTTATATACATTAAGTGTATTATTTTTGTTATATTAGTGTCAAATAAACTTTCATCTTTTATGGCTAGTCTCTTCTTTTTATTTATGTCATTTTGAAATTTTGGAGTTTTAATTTTTTTATGATTTCATTCATGAATTATTCAGATGTTGTTTTTCTAAAACACCTTCCTTCATTTTCCTGGTTTCTCTGTGTTTCATATGATTATTGTAATTTTTCCTCTTTCTCTCTTCAATTTGGAGTTTCTGTTGGTGTATGATATAACAACATTTCAAAACCTCATCCTCCAAATCAGTCAACGGGCTTCTATACATTTACCACAGAAATTTTCATTCCACTGAATTTTTCTCTTGGTTTTTCTTTAGCTGGAACAGCACCAACTCATTCTTGTATATGTATGTAAGCAAACTCATCTGTCACTTAGCACTTCCTTTAAGAATTGCTTTTCTGATCACTTAAAATTCCCCTATCACAATCACTTATTTTCTTACTTAAAATTTTGTTTACATTATTTTTAATATATTAAAATAGCATTTTAATTCTGTTTATTTCCTATTTGTCTTCTCAATTATCTAATTGAGAATAATAAATTTCTTATGACTAGAAACTGTATAGTCAACTTGTTTTTGAACTTCTCAATAGCAGCCCAACACTGGGCACTCAAGGGAACATAAGATTCACTGAACTGAGGCTGAATGATTAATGTCACATAACCCCTATAATCATTAGAGACCTCTGTGCACTAAGGAGTGACACTTCCTACCGAGCTTCCTTCAGAGGTTAGGGTGCAATCCTGGCATGCCTTTGCTAAAGCTCTTTGTGTGAATCATTTTGTTCCCTTTATCCCAGCAATAATTTAAATCTGCAGCAACACCTGAAACACATTCATGAATGAGTGATGTCAAACACGATGACATTGTCTCATCTGTAACCACATTCCTGTGGAGACCATTCTCTGCAGTGTGGAGGAAGAGTCCACAGTTCTCCAAGGGTAGTTCAAGATCACAAAAAAATTCCACAACAGAAATGAAGGTAACAAAAGCTTTTGCTGTTGTCCCTGGGGTGGCGTGGCGGGGTGAAGACCCTGTGTAGCAGGAGAGTTGACTGTTCAAAAAATACTCATCAGCTCTTGTTTTTAAAGTTACCAAGTCGTCTTTTTTATGCCCGCATTTGTATGCCTGATTCAGAAATGGACTTTGTTTCATTTGGACAATTAGCAGAATTGCATGACAATTATAAACAGAACTAAAAGTACATATTTGCATAGTCTATTCTGAAAATTAAACTACTTCACTGCATTCATATTTGATGAAGAGACCTTTCACAATCCCCAAGGAAAAGAGTCCATTTTTTGGGTAACATACACAAGCAATAATAATGAAAAGAGAGATATAAGCCAGTGTTTATAAAAACATGAAGAACTAATCTTAATTAATGGGTTCTTCAAATAATTAGTTCGTGGAATAGCTCTCTATATAATAATGAAACACATAACCAAAACTCAGACTTCTTGAGAACCAGAAATTTTTATAGAAGCTCAGATGCCTTCTAGGGTGATAAAAAGTGCATAGAGCAAAGGAAAATTAAATGTGAATGGTTCACAACCATTGCTTAAAATTCCCTGAAAAAGCAAATGTAGAAGATAAACGGGAATGCACTTGTCTGGGTGCTCTATTTTCTTGTCCCAATAAAGTGGAATGTGTGGTATGAAATAGCCAGCAAGGCTTCATTTTGAAATTACACATTTTTATTTTTATTTATTTATTTATTTTGGAGACAGAGTCTTGTTCTAGTACCCAGGCTGGAGTGCAGTGGCATGATCTCAGCTCACCGCAACCTCTGCCTCCAGGTTTTAAGCAATTCTCCTGCCTCAGTCTCCCATGTAGCTAGGACTACAGGCCCCCAACACCACATCTGACTTATTTTTGTATGCCTCAGCCTCCCAAAGTGCTGGGATTGCAGGCGTGAGCTACTGTGCCTGGCCTGAAATTACACACTTTTAGAGCAGCTAGTTTATTCCCAGCTTCCAAAGAAGATCCCATTCCAGGGGAACAGTTCCACAGTTTAAAAACACTCAGAGGATGAAGTGATTCTATATAACCAATTGATAGTGGTAGTAGTGTTAGTAGTAGTAGTAGTAGTAATTAGTGATATTTTTCAGGGAGGAATGTAAATTCCTTGAACTTGGAAAGTCGAATCTAAAGTTTAACCTAGCTAGACCAAATGAATTAATTATCTTTTTCTCTTAAGTAATTCCAGTCATCTGTAAGGTTTTTTAAAAAATATTTAATTATTGTTGTGTAGTGCTTGGTATAGTTGACAATTGTTTTCCTCTTTTAAAATTACCTCTTCACATATTGGTGCTGCGAGCTATAATAGCCATCTAATTAGTAGAAAATAATATTTGTTTGGTGTATACTATGTCCCAGGGATCATGCTGAGCATGATATATAGATAGCACAGATGTGTATGCATATATATGTGTATACTTACGCAGATATAGGTAGATTCTTATTCAATCCTCACCAGAAACCTTTAGGTTGTTTCTAGACATCTAGCATAAGGTCAGAACTCAATATTAGCCAACATTAATGTTATTTTCCCATTTCACAGGTGAGAAAACAGAGGCTCTGGGAGCCTAAGTAACTTTTCCAGGGGGCAAAACAGCATCCAAATCCAAATCTTTCTGAACCGCTATTTCAGAACATTTCCCATCTGCCAGATTACCAAACAACAGTGATTGGGTTTTTAGGGGGTTTCCCATATTCAAAAGACCTGTATTAAATTCCAGTTTTAAGATCTTAACAAAGATATAGCTTTCATTTTTTGCCCTCAAACATGATTTTAAATTTAAACCTTGTGATGAAATGTCATTAGGGGATTTTGGTAATCCTCATATTAGTTTTTCAATCAGTAAATGATGTTTTTTCTTGAGTAATATTTCCCTAGTCATTTATTTTCATTCCTTTTCTGTTGGTCCAATAGGCCTTTTGTGAGCATAATGAGTTTTGAAAGAAATGGAGTGATATATTAATTAACCAAGCTAATTATCTTGGAGAGCCTTGATTTTTAAACCCCAAGGTGTATACATTATTTCTGAAAATGTGTGTTGGGAGATCTTGATTGAGATGGTTTAGGCAGAGGGAA
Organism: Homo sapiens; assembly: GCF_000001405.40. Taxonomy (NCBI): domain Eukaryota; kingdom Metazoa; phylum Chordata; class Mammalia; order Primates; family Hominidae; genus Homo; species Homo sapiens. The sequence goes on from NC_000018.10 coordinate 52,386,668, forward strand.
AGACAGCCAAGTAATACACAGCAGGATAAGCAAATTTTGGTTTTAGAAATTAGGGAAAGAGATTGTTGGGAATTTAATTGCTGGTGCTGTTTTGTTTCCCATATATAATTTCTAATATATTACAATTGCACACATAGTTTGTACACATTACACAACATGTATCATATATCAAAAATCACCTTTCACCATAAGCTCAATGTCCTCATTGAAACTAACTCTCCAGTCTAGTACCTATTACAGATACCATTACGGGAGTAGCTCTGGTTTTTGATGCCATAAGTTGTAGCTACTTAAAAGCCAGTAGTTTAACTCCAATTTGAAGAACAAAATGAAGCAGAAAGGGCAGAGTAGCTAAGGTGAGATGTATGATGTTTTATTTCATCAGTAGCAAATTACACCGAATTCAGCTGAAAATGTCTTTCTCATATTTTCTTAATAGCACTTTCAATTGAAATAGACACATAGAAGAAAGATTCTTAAATGGCAACAACTATTGATCATGTTCTTTGCTTCCTGTCTAATGTACTAAGCAGTGAGTTAGTGCTTTGCAGCAGGTATGGCTCTGCCCTCCAGCAGCCTGTTTTCTATGAGACTTACTGAAGGTGTGTGAACACCGATGACATCATGGACATCAGGACAAAGGATAAATGGATCTTGTGGGAAGGGAGAAGAAAAAAATTGGTAAATTACAGGAGACCAGAGAGCGAGTCTGGATGATGACATTTCCCAGCTCTTCAGGGCACAAGAATGGTATATTGTTTTCACGTGTATTGAAGCTGCAGCAATCTCCTTCTGCAAGCCCTTGCTATGTGTTTGGACAGAGCTACTACCAGCAGCAGAGACACCAGCTTCCTTTAAGATCTTTCCAATGCAAGGGAGGGCAAAGCCAGGCTGTTTTGTTTTGTTTCTTCCTTCCTTCCTTCCTTCCTTCCTTCCTTCCTTCCTTCCTTCCTTCCTTCCTTCCTTCTGTCCTTCCAGCTTTAATGAAGTATGATCTATGAACAAAAACTGTCTATATTTAAGAAGAAGAATGTGATATTTCTATTTATAGTTTGTTCTGGCCTCATTGTTTGAGGCCTATTGCAATGCTCTCTACTCTTTCAAATATTCTGCTGCAATGAATGGGATTCTCATAGGTTACATCCAAAAGAACTCTTTTTCTCTTTACATTTTGCTTTGGATAGGAAAATAATACACATTTATAAAAGTTTAACCAATATCTAGTTTTAAAAGTAAAAAGTAAATGTTTTCCTTTGCTCGCCACCACCAATCATGCTCCACTGCCCAGAGTTGACCCTTGACAACCCTGGAGGGTGTTCTTCAGCATGGCACATGCATCCATGGGCATACTAATCACATCGTGGTCTATGTGAGGGGCTCTCCCTGGTACCAGGCAGGGCTCAGCCTGCATTGCTAGGCATGAAAGCCTAGAATAACATTAACATCTGTGGACCCAGTGGCGAGCTTTGGAGGCCTCAGTCTTAGTTCTGTCACCAACTTGCTTCATGTTAGGTGTGACGTTCAACTTCTCTATTTTTTTTTTCTGCTAATTGAGGCATTAGGAGAAGGCAACTTTTCATGTGTCTGAAGAAGACATTGGAAAAGAGGATTTCTAATGTCTTTCCAGCTCTAAAATTCATAGATGTGCTATGTATCTTTCTAGTAATTTGTTGCTTTGTAGCCACAGTCCATAAACCAGGCTGTTGACACACAGCTCTCCAGATTCCAGGATCAGACAAGAGAATTAATTTTTATTTATTATTTAGGTTCTGCCAAATTACTGTTTTCTGGTTGCAAATTAAACTACTATTGCAGAAGCATTTTCCTTTATAAGTGCCACTTTTTTTTTTCCCCACGGAAATCTATACTGTATTTTGCATGGCTATTTCCAGTACTTTTAGAATGTGTAGGGGAAAAAAAAAAACCTTTGCTAGGAGTATTTCAGCAAAGTTTTTATTTGGGCCATCAACTTTCTGTCAGCTTCCTGCAGGTAAACTGGAGAGAGAAGGTGAGATGTATTCTTTGGACATTTTTCCTTCCAGGGCCTTCTCTTCTGCTTTCAGCAGCCTTCCCACACACACGTGAAAATATGTAGGGGATGAGTATATTTTGGAAATGAGTTTTCCAGGCATGGTCAGGTCAAGCTGTGTGTTATTAAGTATATGATCCACATGGACGTATAAATGATAGCTTCGACTATAAGCTCAAGTGCATTTGAGATATTTTTGGGCAAAAGTGTCTCCACACAGTGGACACTTGGTAAGACCAATATGTATTAATAGCCAGAGATCGTTCAGGACCGAGGATAGCCATTCATCAAAAACTATGTCTTCTGCTGGGTGTTAGTTGTGTATTCTCTGCCCAGTGTGTATGGGGAAGAATATGTGTATCCACCCTCCCTGGAACTGCTCAGCGCTGGCTGCATACGCACAGGGTGAGCCCACCTGAAGAGTCACTCTGTGCTTCCATTTCATCTTGTCGATGAGTTCATTTTTGCAGTGGCTTATAACCAGAAGCCAGTTTTGCACTCCCAGCATGTATTTGGCAATGTATGCAGACATTTTTGGTTGTCACACTGGGGAAGTCCTACCTGCCAAATAATAGATAAGGTACACACTTAAATTTGAATTTTCAATAAACAACAAATAATTTTTAGTATATCTCAAATATCGCATGGAACATATTTCTACTAAGAAATTAGTCATAGTTTATCTGAAATTCAAATTTAACTGGACGTCTTGGATTTTTATTGGCTCATTCTGACAATCTTATGTTAATAACGCAGTAGGTGGAGGCTATGGAGGTTGCTAAACATTTTACAGAGCACAGGTCAATAAAGATTTATCTGACCCAACCTGTCAATAGTGATGAGATTGAGAAATTCTGAATTATTGTAATACTTTATATGGTAACATAGTACATAGTCATGCAAAAAGCAATATGGATTTCAGGAGAAAACTGATGGCACTTATAAAAAATTACTTCTATGGTAGGAGTTACATTTGCAACAAGGAAACAGAATAATTTAGCAGAAGCTAAATAATAACTTAAAAATCAATTATCTTGTTGGATCACTGAATCTTTGAAGCTGTGTGCACCTCCCTAGGTCCTCCATCATTTGATTTATTTTACAAGGACAGCGAGCCCCTTCTTTCATGAAAGTCTGGCATACAGTGTATATCTAATTGATTATTGTTGATTGATTCAATGAATAAAAACAAACACTTTCTTGTATTGAGAAACTATTAAGTACTAACCTTTCACACATATTGCTTCCAGTTCAAACAAGGAGAGTATTATACCAATTTTTCATATAGAGAGACTGAGACTTACATTACAATATGCCAGAAGTTATAGCACTAGTGCAGGGCAAAGGTGGGATTTGGGGAGAGGATGTTTCTTCCCTAAGGTTTCTATGCTTTCCCCGCCACAAACAGAAGACCCAGGCAGCAAAAGATCTGTAATAGGGGAAACATTCTTCCCTCTATGAGGATCCTGTATCAGATCTTCAGGTTGTTGGCTCTCCCACAAACATTTCTTCCATGAATGTATTTCTGTTCTTTCCCCATTTCTCAGTAATGAAACAGTGACTGCATATCCCTTTGGAGGTAGGTGGATCTATTTCCAAAGCTCTACCTGCTGGGAGACATCCACAACCTTCTCATGCTGCTTCTGTCAATCGTCTGGTGAGCACACCAGGATGGGCACAGAAGGGACAGCTGTTACAGTCTTGGGCTCCTGGGAAGCCTGGCAGAGGTTTACCCTGCCTACAGACACTCCAATTTAGTAGCAATCATTGAACATTTTTACCCTAATAAATTTAAAAATAAAGAAGTTTGCATCATTTATTTTAAATTTGTGGGTAGGATTTCACACTATAGTCATTTGTGTTTGCTGATGAGTGGAATGGCTTCCACCTTTTATGCTACTGTGCAGTCTGAAGAAACCCAGGTTGGCATCTGCTCTTGTCACATGGTGGAGTTCGCAGGTCTCCAAGGAGACTCATGGTCTCTTAGGATGAAGGAAAGAGAAGAAATGCAGCATCCTGAGTCCTGGGCAACAGTTTTGTGGCCAAGCATCATGGCCACTTGTCTCATTAGGCAAATATTAGTTATTCCTCATATCCATCTTTTTCCCCAGATCACTAAGTCAGAAATTGTTAGTTGTATTCATTATTACACTTCCCTCAGCATACTACACTCTCTTATACATAGCGAACATTGAGTGTATTAGCACTTGGAGTTTATACAGCCTATTTTGCAGAAGTTTGTCCCCTCCATTACCAAAAGTCTTATCATCTTCTTGCCTTTCACATCTATGTAAGGGTAGAACATCTTGTTACAGATTTTTTTTTGTGTGTGTATGTGTGTATAATATTATACACACTTTTAGGCTTCTACATTCATGTATGCTGTCATCTGGTTCTTAAACCAAAATTATAAAGTAATATTTCCATTTTGAAGATGAAGGAACAGAAACTTGGTGTATAAACAGGCACATCCCCAAGCTACAATAGTTTATAAGAGGCAGGATCAATTTGGAGCCTATCATCTCTTGACTTCTTCCCAAGGGATTTTTCTTCTCTGCTTTGTAGCTCATGAACACTTAGAAGGACCCTCAAATGTTGCTTCACCATTATGGATCTTAATATCTAAAATCAGACTGTGTGTTTTTTAAGCCAACAAGCATATAGCTAGGCACAAAAGAGAGATCCAATTTTATTTTCCTCTAATTTCTGGTTTTGCATCCTCTAACTGAAATATATAGTTTAAACAGATTCAAAGAAATTGTTTGACCAGAGGAAGTTGGTTTTAAAGTGAGAATAAGAGAACCAGAAGGAATTAAGAATTCATACTTGCTTTTCTTTCTGAGATGAAGACAGGCTATCTGGGTCTTTGTCCTGCTTTGAGCATTGGTTGTCAGTGAAGGTTATCATCTTGCCATACTCAGAGTGGCTCATAGATTCAAAAACTGCCCTAGTTCAAGGGGACTGGGGGAAGGGAGCAGAATACTTGAGTTATTTACCAAGGACACTGGTCAAACTTTAATAGGAGTCATAATGCAACTGAGCACCACCTTATAATCAAGCAACTCTATTCTATTTGGGCATATCCCTGGATCTATTGGGGGTAGGGTGACTGGAAATATACTTAACCTGCTTATGCCATCATATGGGCACGCTGCTTTTCTACCAAATCTTTGGAAGGCGTCTTACAGTTGCATGGCTGGGAGAAGTGTCACAGACTGCACCACTGGGACAGCTAATGTCAGACACAAATCTGTGTATCAGCTTTAAAGCTGCCAGTGTAGCGCTATGTGTCAACTATTCGAGTCCACAAATTCTTGGCATAAATGCCAATAAGTCAAAATCAAATCTGCGTTATGAGGCGCACAGATTGCCTGCCTGGTAGAGCACACATGCTCATTCAGTTATGTGTGAATAAGAAGCCACTTGATCTATTAATTATGCTTCAGAATCAACGTGAAGCTCTAGGTAAGTGGCTGGTAGCAGATGAATAGATGGCTCATAGAGTGAAGTATAGTAATTGTCTTGAGGTTCTTGATGTGCAATTTAGTAAACTGAAATATGGTATTTTTCAGCCTAATAACAGAAAATCCTCTATCTGTGCCGAAGGGTGGCAGTTGCATGAGTCACTCTCATGTTCAGTAAAACAAAAAGGCAACTCAACCAATTAGAAAGCTTGGATGATACATTGCCACATGCTAATGCTATTAATAGGATGACTGCACATAAGCTGTGACTGAAACTGTATAGTGAAGTCTTCTAATGGCAGTTACCGATAGTGAGAAAGGGTAGTATATGTGTAAACCCAATTCATATTTACTTTATGTACAATGCAAGTTGATGGAAGAAGAAAAACTTAGTTCTAATGGGCAGTGCATTTTATTTAAGGCACTATCATTCCTCACTAATATCAGGGGCTTAAGAATGTGTGTGTGTGTAGGTGAGGGGAAAACTTGTTGCAATACTCCTGCTGCTAATGCCTTTGTCTGTGATCCCATGCTCCACTTATGGGTGGTACATTATTTACTTTGGTGTGTTCCTGTCTACTCAAAAAATGCAGTGAAGTTCATTTTGGTTTATAGAAAGAAAGACCAAGAAAATAAAATATGGAAAGACCATAAAGTTGACTTCCATCTTCCACTTTTTTTCAGGATTGGAATCGAACTATGCAATACCAATAGCATCCTGTTTCTGGCAAAAAGGAGGAAGAATATAATGTTATGTCCCTTTAGGATCTTCTTCCAATCTTATACAGATGTTATTTTTCTTTGCAATGGAAGCTGTTTACCTTTCATTCATTCCTCTGTGGTGAAGCCAGGGCCAGTACTAGGCTAATCTGAGAAGTGATGAAATTAGACTTTCCCCTCTGTTCTTCTTTGGAATGTCCATCAGGGCTTTCACTGTGGGATGAGATATGTTGCAGGCACTGACCACAGGTACACTCCCAATATCTGTGTGATCATGGTTCAGTCATTTTCATTCTAAACCTAAATATCCTTAACTATGAAATGAAAGAATGACATGCCCATTCATAACAGAGGGTTATTGTATCAATGATTTCTGACTTGGACCATACGGAATCTCATGGAATGTAGAGGGGACGATGCAGATATAGTTTGAAGAAAGCACATCAGATGGTTCTAACATGTACTTCCTCATCCTCGAATGACCTGAGTCAGTGGTTCTCACAGTGTGGGACCAATGGGAGCTTGTAAAAATGCAAATCTTGAATCAGAAACTCTGAGGGTGAGACCTAGCAATCCATATTTTAATCTCTATATTATTTATATTTTCATGAATAATCACAACAAAGTTTGAGGACCACTGGCCTGGATGTGGATCCAAGAATGTGGTCACCTAACCACCTGCATCAGTATCACCAGGAGCTTATTACAGATGAAAATTCCTGGAACAAAACCAAGCCCTGCTAAATCATAATATCTGGGACTAAAGCCCAGGGATCAATGTTTTGACAAACTTCAGGAAATTCTAAAACCTGTTCATACTTACAACACAAAGTTAGTCTAGAACCACTGTTCCAGAAAAGTGATTGTTAAAACTAAGTGCACATTAAAATCGCGTGTGAGAGTTTTTAAACAATACCAATATCTGGGCTCCAACCACAGGCCAATTACCTAGATTCTAATTTCCAGTCAGGATTAAAAATTACTAGACTAGATTATTTTTAAGACCCCTTTCAGATTCAGGTTCCATGATTTTTGCAATTTTGTGTTGTTTCCTAAATGCGTATTTTAATTCTCAATTCATAGCATGCTTTTCAATCCACACCATAGTTGATTTGTACCACACAGTACCCTACCTACTGGTAAATTCACGATAGGCTGGTAAATTGTCATCGGCTAAATCCAGCACCATTTACAATACTATGAGCTAAAAACAACAGGTGCAGCCTGAGAAGCTCATCTCTAAAGCCATACCTTCAGAAAACTTGGTCCAAATAGATCTCAACTCCTATACCCAAGGCATCCTCGTCTTTCTATTGCTGTGTTGAATGACACTAGCCTTCAGGTTTCATTTACTTGAATACTATTTGCAACAGAATTAGGATGATGATTATTATTATTATTATTGAGACAGGGTCTCACTCTGTTGCCCAGGCTGGAGTGCAGAAGTGTGATCATAGCTCACTACAGCCTTGAACTCCTGGGCTCAAGGGATTCTCCCACCTTGGCTTCCAAGTAGCTAGGACCACACGTGTGCTCTACCATACCTGGCTAATTTTTTAAAGTGGTTTTTTTTTTTGTAGAGGTGGAGGTCTTGCTACAGTGCCTGGCCTGGTTTCCAACTCCTGGTCTCAGGTGATCCTCCTGCCTTGGCCTCCCAAATCGCTGAGATTACAGGTGTGAGCCACCACACCTAGCCTCAGATTTGTAATTATTTTCCTTGCTGCTTCCAATGTTTTTAAAAGCATAAGTCAGTGGGCAGCAGGTTTTGGAGGTCAGACCCTTAGGAGTTATTTCCTGCAGCTTCCAGAGCCCCATCCTAATAATGAACACCTGTACTAGGCTTAGTCAAATTGATACTGTTTGCCAGTAAACTCTGGTTTTCAAGGAAACTGAAACCAGAGGAGCCCTAATAATACATGTTTTTAACCTGAGGTTTGGGCTTGAGCCAATGGCATCAGAGAGCAGCTCAAATGAGCTGTTGCAAGGAAGGTTTATCTGAAAAATAGTTAATGAAAGACTTTGAGAGCTGCAGGGATGTCTGACAGATTGGCAACTCACTTTGAGAAAGAGACTATTTCCCGTTCCAAGTCCCAGACACACAGCCTGCGGGTAAGTCATCAGAAGTAAAATAAACGGGGAAATGGGAGAGGGGAAAAACAGTACCCTGTAACATCTATCAACTGTACAAGCCAAAGCTACTGATGAAGTTAAATAGACAACAATCCTTTGTGTTTATTTTCTGTTCAGTGAAGTTGCTAACCTGAGCTTTCAGAGGACTAACACCACAATTAAAGGCAAGCAGATTCAGGGGAACACAGTGAAAGGTAGATCAAGAGTATTTTTATGTTTAGATTGAAATTTACTATTGGCTAGGAAAGGAGGTGTTTATTGTGTCTAAAGACAATAATACTATTATCCACCCAGCAATTATGGTCACAAGACCACTCAAACAAGTAGTGGGTTGTTTTGGTTGGAGAGAAAAAACCAAGGCTCTGTTTGCGGTATTGCTCGGTATGTGGGTTTGGTTTTTTTTGTAGTTTAGTGGGCTGTGGGCTTTTGCAGCCACCCTCAAAAGGATGAAGAGACTTTTAAACAGCTTCGGGGTTGGTAACAGGAGTCCCTTGGTCCCTTCAGGGAAACCAAAGATACTCAGGCCAATAATTTAATCAGGAGAAGATTTATCAGTTGGAGTGACACAGTTTTAAAGGTGCAAACTCTCTGTGTGATTCTAAGCAGATATGAAGTCCAGCTGAGAAGCCAGTCAAACTGATACTTCTCGGGTTTCTCTACCCAGCTATTCTGAGCCTGAGATCTGCCTTCTTCTTACTCTGGCAAATCAGAACCAATGTTATTCTCCCAGATTTGGGGCATCACATCTATTACGGGTCATGGCTCCTCCTGAAGTCAAAGGCCCTTCATTTCCATCTTCTACATGGATTCCTGCCTGGTTATCTACTCTTCCATTTAATGCAACCTATTCTACAATCCAGAGCTCAACCTATTCCACAACCCAGAGCTCTCTGGCCTCTCACAGAATAGGTAAGATTTCTAAACCTTTCCACAGATTCACATAAGTCAGGATATACCTTTAGATAGAAAACGTTAAGCCTCAGGCCACCCTCCCTGCTGAGTTCTAGTCAGAACTCAGAGGCCAGCTTTCAGTGTATTCTGAGGAAGGAAAAGGGAAACAGACTATCAAATGCAAACACTAATACTGACGCTGATGGGTTGTATGATTCCAGGCAAACTGTAAATCTTTCCTGGGGTTCTCTATGTATTTCCCGTTAAAGCAGAAAAGAAAATAAATGCCTCCCTATTCTGCATGTTATTTGGGCAATAAAGTGCTACTGATTTGTGAACTTCAATAATAATAAAATAACACTGGAAAAACCTGCACCACACCCCCCCCCCACCCCGCCCTGAAAAGACTTCAAACATTTGATGAAGCTTCAAGCAAATTAGAAAAATAAAAAAATCAACAATTTGAGCTCCTCCTAATTTTCCTGACAATCAATTTTCTCATAGGATGCTTATTTTCAGCTTTACAATCTGCCAACTAGCTCCTCCAAACCTCATTTGTGACCCCTTTATGGGGGAAACCTAGAGGTTAATTAACAGATGACTGTTAGTTCCTGAAAGTCGCCCTGTGATTTAGTCCCGAGGTGGCCTGAGCATCTCCATCCCTTGTTAGGAAAAGGCTCTCTGGTTCAATATTAATTTCTGTAGCTTTTACAACTCTCACTGGGATTAACATTTAATCAACAGAGCAGGTTCCTTTTTATATCATTATAGAAAAGTTTCAATAAAATAGAATGGTGCATTATACTGTAATGAATGACAAACACTGGTAAATTTTCATTTAAAATCAGTAAGTTGAACCTAGAGTTGATTCATAACGGATGGGTCATCTCAATTTAATGAATAGTAACTAAACTAAAAACACATTAAACAAATGCCTGGAATGAAAAGGGAGACATAGTTATTGCCCCACGAGGCTGTGTGATCCTCTAAGAGAGGGCATATGTTTTCTTAATTTTTCCTTAGCTGATGCTTAGAGCAATACCAAGCATATAGTGGGTACTCAACAAATGCTTTCCAGACTGAATATATTAATAAATGTTTCTGTGTATAGAAAGGTATTTTCCTTTAGAAAAAATGTTACTGCATTTTGCTAATTGCGGCCACCTCTCAATGAATGGGGATGATCACAAGGGATTATGTATACTACATCTTTTTCTTTTATAAATGTTTATAGTAGTGATTCTCAAACTTGTGCTTGCATCAAAATTACGTGGGGAGCATGTAAAACAGTGATTTCTGGGCCCCACTACTAGAATTTCTGATTTAATATTCTGGGGAAGAGCTCCCAAAACGCATACTTCTAAATTCCTGGGAGATCTGATGCTGCATTCTGGAGATCATATTGAGAATCACTCGCTTATAGCATCTATCTGTATGGCATTGGTGGCAATTTCCATTTATTCATGTACAGGTGAAATCTTCCCTAGAGCAGGTCCTCACACACAGAAAATACCTGGGGAGCATTCGCTGACTGCACAGATAATTCCACCCTCATTGTGGGGAATGTAACACTATTGCTGCTATATGCATAAATGGCTTTCATTCCTAGGGTCCCATCAGCTATGAAAGGAAGCATAACAGTATTGCTGTTGGCCTTTTCTTTCATGTGATAAATTGCCATTAGAGTGCTACCCTAGGCATATATCAATTTCCTTGGGGATCTAACTTTGACTCTTCCGAATCTGCCCACAGTTGCTATAGCTGTGTGTATGACTCTTTGGCCCTTTCACACAGGGTGGCTGTCACTGGAGTAATAATAGGAGCCATTGCCATTAGAGTCTGCCAGTGGTATTGACTCTGTGACTCTACCTTTGAGTTTGTATAATATTTTATTCCAATTAAGCCTCTCCATCTGTATTTGTTTTCATCTAGCAAACTGTTAATTGTAGGTGGCTCTGGATATATCTGATGGTGCTGGCCACGGAATATCTGTCCATCTCATGTAAAAAATGTAGGAAAATATTTTATTAGGAAAAGAATGGCCACAGTGGTCATGCATTTTGATTGGGGTGTTTGATTTGTTTGCTTTTAAGTAATAGGGCTGGGCTTCAAGGCCTCATCAACAGCTCCTCACCTTGTTTCCTTTCTGAGCAGTAGCACCAATTGCTATTTAACTCTTTAACTTAGGGATACATATATTGGGGTAATGCTTTAACTTTGACGGTACATACATTGGTAATAGAATAGGATAGAGCTAATTTACTGATCCAGTTTTGTGGGTGGAGGATTTCACAACTTTGGTCCCATTACCAACATTTTCTTAGCAAATGTTTTAAAGTTATGTTAAATAAGCCTGATAGTTGGATATTTTCATTCAGATATCTTAGAGCCTAATACACCTACACATCTTTTCTCTCCTTTCAAATTTTGATGCATTCTTCAAGGAAAAGTTCATTCCACTCTCATCTGTGGGTTTTTTCCCAACATGAACTCTTAGGTGTTACTAACTTGATCATTCTTCTGGCACTCTATTACATACCATTTTGTGACATCCTTTGTATTGTAACTTTTTATGCGTATAAACTTTGTCTCCTCAATTAGATTGCACACTTTTTCAATCATCTCTCATTTTACTACATGATTATTCAACATCCACTATGCATAGTGCACCAAAATTGATGCTGGAAGAATACAGAGAGGCAACATATATGGTCTTATATCTAGGCTCTTAAAGAATTTATGATTTAGCATTAAGGCCAAGCTGTGCACATACATACACGTGCCATAAAACAGCAACTTTCACTCACAGTAGCACATGAGTTAGGAGTGATATAAATAGGATCCATATAAGTCTGTTTTTCCACTGGGCTTACATATTGTTTTATAGACATAGTCATGGAGTGCCCATTTATTTTCTTCATATGTACATAAGGGATGTCCTTTTCTAATTAGGTTCGGTGTATACCGCTCAGGAGATGGGTGCACCAAAATCTCACAAATCACCACTAAAGAACTTACTCATGTAACCAAATACTACCCATTCCTCAAAAACCTATGGAAATAAATAAATAAATAAACAAATAAATAAATTTGCCATTATGTCAAACCTCAGAAGTGCTATGAAAAGAGTAATTATTTTGACCTAATTTGGATATATTTAAATTTAAACACACTTGATACTGAAATCCATATTGATAAAAAATTAAACTGAGATAAGGCTCTTGACAAAAACAAGCATCTTTCATAGTAAGATGTCTTTAAATTAGCAAGCTCCTTCACATATTTAAAATATATAGTGTTTTTTTGTTTCTTTTCTGGACAAAAGGAGGAGTTTGAGGAAAAAGTTGAGTATCAGGGACAGCTTTACTGATGACAATCTAACTTCCTCCTAGCTCTAGTTGCCCCTAGATAACTTTCCAGCATTGTCTGGTCAAGGCACTGTTTAATTTTCATCTTCGTTCTACTGCCACCATTATAAGCAGATAAGAAAATGTCCTTTTGTTATTTAAACACATATCTATAATTTTCTATTGAAAGAGTGTAAAGGGGAGACTGATCATCATGAAGCCCAACATCATCTTCCCATTCCTTCTCCTTATTCTTCATCCTACCACATCCTTTATGATCCAGTGTTGCTGATCTACTTATAAGTCCCTAAAAATCTATTTTTTTAGAGTCACATCTGGCTTTTCTTGCCTGTTGAATCTCTGCTTCATCCTCAAGGCCCACCTCAGTGTCAAACTCTCTGAAAAGCCTTCCTAAATTTTATGAAACAGAGGTATTTGTTCTCACTTTTCTGTGATGTTATGATCACTCTATATGATGGCATTAATTATAGTGTTTTTCCATTATAAAGCCGTTATTGACATGTCTGTTACGTTCATTGGACTGTAAGTTCCCTGAGAGTGAGAACCTGTCTTATTCTTATTAATATCGTTAGCATTTTCTGAGACAGTATATCTTGCTGATAATTGGATGGCCAACTATATATTTGTACAATTAATATATGAATGAATTTATCAAATAAATGAGTAGATGAATGCCTACCTCAAAAGTAACAAATTAGTGACTACCTCTTAGAAAATTGAATGGATAATAAATAAATACAATTATACCAAATACCATTCTATGGAATTTCTTTTGATCATATTTTCATGTTGTGAATAGAAATATGTTTGAAAGTAGCATATCCCATCAATAGCAATTCATAGCTCAACCCAAATGTGTGACATTAATTTCAAAATATGTCTGCTTTTGTTCTGGCACTTTTCAAGCTGAATGTGTACCCAGTATGTTCATCCTGTCAATTCATAAGGGTAGCAAGGAATATAAAATATGAAACTGCATTATGCTATAAATGGTGATCTTGAAATCAAAAGTATTGGCAGACACCAAAAAATATGGATGATTTCTCTAGTACCTTCAAATTTCCTAAACAAAACTTCCTATAAATAAAATTATATTTTAAGGAATCAGTTCAAAAGTCAAAGTGTGTCATAAATTTATTAGTTAGAATGGCGATTATTAAAAAGTCAGGAAACAACAGATGCTGGAGAGGATGTGGAGAAATAGAAGCACTTTTACGCTGTTGGTGGGAGTATAAATTAGTTCAATCATTTTAGAAGACAGTGTGGCAATTCCTCAAGGATCTAGAACCAGAAATACCATTTGACCCAGTAATCTCATTACTGGGTATAAACCCAAAGGATTATAAATCATTCTACTATAAAGACACATGAACATGTATGTTTATTGCAGCACTGTTCACAATAGCAAAGACTTGGAACCAACCCAAATGCCCATCAGTGATAGACTGGATAAAGAAAATGTGGCACATATACACCATGGAATACTATGCAGCCATAAAAAGGATGAGTTCATGTCCTTTGCAGGGACATGGATGAAGCTGGAAACCATCATTCTTAGTCAACTAACACAGGAACAGAAAACCAAACACCGCATGTTCTCACTCATAAGTGGGAGTTGGACAGTGAGAACACATGGACATAGGGAGGGGAACATCACACACCAAGGCCTGTTGAGGGGTGGGGGACTAGGGGAGGGATAGCATTAGGAGAAATACCTAATGTAGATGATGAGTTGATGGGTGCAACAAACCACCATAGCATACTGTGTAACTGTGTATACATATGTAACAAACCTGCACGTTCTGCACATGTATCCCAGAACTTAAAGAATAATAATGATAAATAATAATAATAATAATGCATGTAACTCAATAGTGGATAAATTCTGCTGGCCCTTGAAACCCAGAAGAAAGGGTTACTATTTGGGACCGGTAAAGTTCATCAGAATGCCATCAATCATATGCTTTCCTAATGGGCATAACTCTGACCACATTCATCTAGGGATCACTATCTGAATTTGCATGGCATAGAACATAGCAGAATAACTTTCCATTTCTCCATCTCTACTGAGCATTTACAGCATCCCACTAGTTACAACTTAACTTGGAATCTTGTGGTTTTATAAACCCCAGGATAAGGACAGAACAAAATTCATATTCTAACCATTTACTGACGCTGAAGCAAATTGACCTTTAGCAAGTCAACTGGCAATGCAGAGAAACCACAACAAACTGTGACTTAAGCATTTCTAGAAATTACTGACTTAATTGACTCAGTCTACAGCTACATGTAGAGCAAAGGAACAGTGAAAATGGCCCTGTCCTCAGCCTTTGCCTTTTATAGATTTTTCTCAGGTGCATTCATTTATGTAGACTCAGTAATGATAATTTGGCACTCTAATTTTGAATGCTGTTCTAAGTCCTAGAGCAGTGAATTATGTCTTTTCTTTCAAAAGTGAGATTTACTAGGAAAAGAACAAGCTTTTTTTCTGTTAGAAGTTCATTATGCTCAATTTTAGGAAGGCTTAACAAAATGATAAAGAGTTTTCCTAAAGTAATATTTCTGACATAGCTGTTCTGTCATAAATTTTTGGCCTATTTAATTCTCTACAAAAATGTAAAATTGTGTTTTCAATTATTTTTCCTGATCAACTTTGTTACATTAATACAACGAACTGCCTTTTCTGGAAGAAAATTTCAATTTATAACGATATTATAGGATGTAAAATTTCACATAAGATGGTTGACTGTCTTCAAATCGTTGCAGCTGTCTTCTAGTAAGCAAGTGTATTACTTGTCAAGGGTTGCATGTACAATTCAGTGCCCATGGACATATCTAACTGATTGGGTTATACTTTAGAAATCCTTTTAGTTTTGAAGTTTTGTTCTTTCATAGTAAGTGAAAGTAACTACCCGATATTAATGGTATATATGAAAGAGTTAAACATTTACTTTGGTGGTAGTATAGTGTGATAACTCACTCTCTGATCGATTTAAATGGATTTAAAACTGCATCTGGCCTGGTTCATTTTGGGTGATCAGAATATTTTACTCTATAAACAAGAATGCATTTGAGTAAGTAATGTGTAGACATGGGCCTCTATCGCATGTTTTCAACTCCCTGAAGTCCACTATAACAGTTCATTTTACTCATTGTGTTTGTTCTCTTCATCTTCCTTTCTATTTTCTCCATCCTTTAAGTGCCCCAGGAAAGTACCCATCAAGCTGTGACTTGAAAGTTTCAAGGAATTATTATTTCAACTGCTCTTCTAAAGGTTGGCTTCACTTCCAAATCTCCCCACTTAAAGTTTTCTTTTTTCTTCTTTCTGTCTGTCATTTACAAAATAAGTTGGTTTTTTAGATGTCGCATTTTAAATTTTGAAATGTGTAACTAATGAGACTATTTTCCTTATCTCCTTTCTTTAACCCTCCTTTATATACTGTCCTTATGGGCTAGTGTCATCATTAATTAGTTAATGTTTGTAGAATTTGTGAGCAAGAATTAGTGATAATAGGGAAAGTAGGGAATATTTGGGTTGCTGGTTGGAGGAGGAATACTAATGAATGTTAATCCTGAATGCTCACATAGTGCCTTTTGTCTTCAATATAGTTGAACGAGGCACTAATTAATTGTCATCCTACAGGATTATTATTAAAACAGTACAGTCAGTGTTCAAGTGTGCCTGGAGCAAATACAGAAGTTTAGTCACTGTATAGGCTAAGCTGAAGATGCATGTGTTTTCTGTGCAGTGGGAATGACTAATACCAAATCATTAACAGAAGGATTTGGCTAAGAAAACAGGTGCAACGGTGAAAGTTTTGATGGTGGACAAAAAGCATTTGACTATTTGTTTTTTTGAGAGTTTCAGGCAAAAGCTTTGCCTATAGTAAAGTTTACCGTATGTTTTCTAGTAATTTTTAAGAAACATCTCTACAAGTAAGCATTCAAAAGAATGATATGTGGTATCTACAAGGTAGGCCAGATCCTGGTGACATATCTCAGATTTGTCTTTGTTGTTGTCTTCTGGTCTCCCTATAAGGGAAGCAGAGATAAGGGAAAGCTGAACAGCCCTTGATGCTCTCCACTTCTTATTTTGGTGGTTTCAAGTCTTTCACTGCCCCTGTCATTCAGAAAGAGCTTACTCTGGGGCTTCTTGAGGGTCCAGACTCATACTTAACACCCTGATTAACAGCCCAATTGTGTTTTGATTCATGGCTAGAGTGTTTACTATCATCTCTCCTAAAGAGCCATTGGTCAGTAAACATGGGAATAAAAAGTGCTGCTTCTTGTCCATGAATCATCTCATTTTCCCCACCACATTCTTTATATTGTTCACTAGATTCTATGAAAAACTAATGCAGAGGAAATGAAAATGAAAATTATTCAGGAAAGAGCAACTAAGGAGGGAAGGAGGAGGCAATGCCTTAGTGCCTTTGTGTGTGTATGTGTGTGTGTGTTCAAAGCATAACCCTTCCCTAAATAATGCATTTGCTGCTAATTCAATAGCATATTTCACACTTGAGAAGAGCCTCCTCAGCAGCACTTGATGCCAGCCCTAGTGCTCTTAAAAGCAGGCCTTCTTTAATGTATGTTTGATGAGTGTATTGTTCACTGAGAGATGAACAAATAATGATTTGGAATTCTCTGTGTCACTAGACATTATGTAGAGCTTTAGTCATGGGCAATTAGTAAGCATTAACCCTCCTGGTGATTTACACTGTATTTCTTAGATTCAGAATGGTCATTTTCTGGAAAAACAAAAGTATATTCCAACAGGGCATGTCTTTGGCTAGACAGAAGGTTCTGCCTGACTTTGAGGGGTAGGAGGTGGGATTCCTAAAGACAGCGGTACAATGATACATGGACTTATCAGGCAAAAAAATATGGTGTCAGCTCATTATTAATATTTCCCTGAACTCTAGAGACATCATTTATCATGTATTAAGGAGGGAAATGATTATGTTCATAATGTAGAGCTTTAATGAATTGAAAATGTACAGACATCATTGAGCAACTCTTCCTTCCATAGGTCAGGCTGACTATGCTTTTACTGAAGAGAATGGGTTAGTACCATGGAGAACAGTCATTCTTCTTAGATGGCGAGCATCTGACACTCAACTTGAAAGATAACATAAGAGTAAAATGATGTACGCTGACTGTGTGCCTTCCTCCTGCTGCATAGTGAACACTTCTGTAACGTTAAACATGTTGAGTTTATATTGCATAACTGAAGTTGGTAAAGAAAGAAATCTTTCCAAGGACACACACAGTAAACCTGTATGCAGAAATACGAAGAAAAGAGTGACTAGCCCTTATCCCTATATTGGTAAAAATGGGCAGATTTCTACTTTGCAGCCCGAAGTTAAGAATGGAGTTTTCTTTTTTGTTTTCTTTTTTTTTTTTAAATTATACTTTAAGTTTTAGGGTACATGTGCACATTGTGCAGGTTAGTTACATATGTATACATGTGCGATGCTGGTGCGCTGCACCCACTAACTCGTCATCTAGCATTAGGTATATCTCCCAATGCTATCCCTCCCCCCTCCCCCCACCCGACAACAGTCCCCAGAGTGTGATATTCCCCTTCCTGTGTCCATGTGATCTCATTGTTCAATTCCCACCTATGAGTGAGAATATGCGGTGTTTGGTTTTTTGTTCTTGTGACAGTTTACTGAGAATGATGATTTCCAATTTCATCCATGTCCCTACAAAGGACATGAGCTCATCATTTTTTATGGCTGCATAGTATTCCATGGTGTATATGTGCCACATTTTCTTAATCCAGTCTATCATTGTTGGACATTTCGGTTGGTTCCAAGTCTTTGCTATTGTGAATAATGCCACAATAAACATATGTGTGCATGTGTCTTTATAGCAGCATGATTTATAGTCCTTTGGGTATATACCCAGTAATGGGATGGCTGGGTCAAATGGTATTTCTAGTTCTAGATCCCTGAGGAATCGCCACACTGTCTTCCACAATGGTTAAACTAGTTTACAGTCCCACCAACAGTGTAAAAGTGTTCCTATTTCTCCACATCCTCTCCAGCACCTGTTGTTTCCTGACTTTTTAATGATTGCCATTCTAACTGGTGTGAGATGGTATCTCATTGTGGTTTTGATTTGCATTTCTCTGATGGCCAGTGATGATGAGCGTTTTTTCATGTGTTTTTTGGCTGCATAAATGTCTTCTTTTGAGAAGTGTCTGTTCATGTCCTTCGCCCACTTTTTGATGGGGTTGTTTGTATACACCAACAACAGACAAACAGAGAGCCGAATCGTGAGTGAACTCCCATTCACAATTGCTTCAAAGAGAATAAAATACCTAGGAATCCAACTTACAAGGGATGTGAAGGACCTCTTCAAGGAGAACTACAAACCACTGCTCAAGGAAATAAAAGAGGATACAAACAAATGGAAGAACATTCCATGCTTATGGGTAGGAAGAATCAATATCGTGAAAATGGCCATACTGCCCAAGGTAATTTACAGATTCAATGCCATCCCCATCAAGCTACCAATGCCTTTCTTCACAGAATTGGAAAAAACTACTTTAAAGTTCATATGGAACCAAAAAAGAGCCTGCATCGCGAAGTCAATCCTAAGCCAAAAGAACAAAGCTGGAGGCATCACACTACCTGACTTCAAACTATACTACAAGGCTACAGTAACCAAAACAGCATAGTACTGGTACCAAAACAGAGATATAGATCAATGGAACAGAACAGAGCCCTCAGAAATAACGCCGCATATCTACAACTATCTGATCTTTGACAAACCTGAGAAAAACAAGCAATGGGGAAAGGATTCCCTATTTAATAAATGGTGCTGGGAAAACTGGCTAGCCATATGTAGAAAGCTGAAACTGGATCCCTTCCTTACACCTTATACAAAAATCAATTCAAGTTGGATTGAAGACTTAAATGTTAGACCTAAAACCATAAAAACCAGAGAAGAAAACCTAGGCATTACCATTCAGGACATAGGCATGGTCAAGGACTTCATGTCTAAAACACCAAAAGCAATGGCAACAAAAGCCAAAATTGACAAATGGGATCTAATTAAACTAAAGAGCTTCTGCACGGCAAAAGAAACTACCATCAGAGTGAACAGGCAACCTACAAAATGGGAGAAAATTTTCGCAACCTACTCATCTGACAAAGGGCTAATATCCAGAATCTACAATGAACTCAAACAAATTTACAAGAAAAAGAATGGAGTTTTCAGAGTAGGCCTACTAAGCCTATGACAGCATTATTGCTTAATTCGGACTCTGGATAATGGGCTCCAGATTCTTACATAGTCCAGGAATGATCCTCTGCAATCTCTGTGCCCTTCTGATTAAAATAAATGTTCAAAGATGATAAAGGGCTAGCTAATCCTTTTACTTCTTACTGTCTCTCTGTTACAACTTGTATGTTTGTAAATTTTATATGGAATCTTGTAAAATTAAAACAAAACAAATGTTTTACAGTTTGGGAGGTACCCTAGAGGTTGATTCCTCAAAGCTCCAGAGACTGTTAATGATAGTTACCCAGTGTAGCAATCTATGTAGGTAGATTCAGTATGATATAAGACAGTCTGAACTAATGATTATTTGTTTTCCTTTTAATAAACCCATGTGTGAGTCTGTATGTATCTGTGTGGTTGCATTCTCTGCCAGGTTTGTTTTGTATTTTCAAATGAATATTTTTGTTGAGATTCACACCGGTGCTTAAAAATCACCATGTTGTTTTGTCTCTGACTTCTCCTACTAGATTGGTGAGTTTGATTACTGTAGTCTTTTCTAAATAGCACTCTCCATAATCTTTTCCTGTGGAAACATTTGGTGGCACAATTGTCACTCCTGCAGCTAGGTGTTGATTATTAACAACCACTTATTTTTGCTCCATGATTGCTGTCATGTAAATTCCCAGGAAGTGGGGTCAGCCAGTCCTGAGTCTATCCTACAGTCAGTGATGCTTATGGGCAAATGTCAAGAGAAACTTTGTACCTTAGCGTTGAAGGTGAAGAGCACTCCTGAGGTAAATATGAGATAGTTTTACTAGAAACAGTAAAACAAAAGATGAAAGATATGTTGAGTAATATAAACCTAATAAGAGATGAATGTGCATTTGATATATTTTCGGTTGTCCAGGTCCAAAAGAGGTCTTGGTCTTCAAGACCCAACTCAAAATAAATTAATAACCTGGTCATACTCCAATTACTTCCTTGATATTGATTATCTGAATATCTCCAAACATTCACGCCCTTATATAAGGGCCTCTTAAAATTATTCTTTAATTGTTTCAACTTTTTATGTTCTATTTCAATTAGATTGAAAAAAAAGCCAACTCTTTGGGATAGAAACTCCTTTTCTTCTGGTGTTCTTGCATCTTCTTCCATCTATCTACACAATGCATCTTCAATATGAAGCTTGTTGAAGAAATGAATGAATGAATGGTTAGGTTGGAAAGCAGAGATTTCAAAGTGTTCTCTAAAATCATAATACATTTATAGAAAAGTACATTCTCTATTTCTAAGCTAGCAGTTTTTTCTGTGTACAGCTTCCCTCTCCAAATATTTTGTACCAAAATACCCATGGCCTACATTTCTGTGGAGGCCATATATGGAAAGCAATGAGATAATCAAAAAATTCCTTTAGTTATTTTGCCTCTTGCCTTACTCCATCCAATACTAGCCTGTTGATTTTCATTCTCTTAGTTTAATTGGTTAATGTGGTTAAGACTTAAGTATAACTGACTCAGGCAAACTTTGTATCTACTTATAAATCTGCTGTTTTTATGAGAAAATAAATGACAATAAGTCTTCTGTCTTACAGAAATATATTATTCATCCAATAAGCCTATGAAAAGTCCAAAAACTTCTTGGGACTTACTATCAATCACATATCCAAATGCCATATATGATATTCTAAAATAATATACTAGTATGAGACTAGTTTAGAAGGTCTAGCTGTCAAAATCCAGATTTTTTTAAGAACTGAAATGAGATTAGATTCAACACCAGTTTTTTATATAAAATGTAGTTAGAAGACATTTTAATTTTTTTAAGCTTTTTTCATGGAGGAAAGTCTTTTTAAAAATTTTTATTAAATTTTCTTAAAGAATATCTACAATGACAAATGCTGAATTCAGGATGCATGAAGAATTATGAACTGAAATTATACATTTTGAATTTCATTTTAGAAATATGAGATAAGTTTTTATCAGCCCCTGTTGGCAAAGACAATTCCTGATGTGGACCATAAAACAACTCAGGCCTACAAATTAATTTATAAGTAATTACACCCCAGGTTTTTAGATATTTAGTTCATATGCAAAAGTTGACTGCACATTAATGCAGTTTGGATGTATAGTTTGTTATTTTATATTCCTCTGAAGCATCAAGCATCTATAGCTCCAGAAAACTCTGGATTTATTAAGCATATGGTACTGGAAAAAATATAATTTCATACCCTAAGCATTTTCAGCTTAACTCATCATTGTATTAACTATTAGATTTTCTTTCATTTCTCAAATTGTTGTGCATTTTGTGATAGATTTGTAAACTATCTGTAAGGAATCTTTTCACTGGAAACTTCTGAGTTCTCTTTAAAGGGCAGACAAAATGATTTGTGGGAGTTTGGGGAGTGCTATTTGTTTTTATTAGGTTGAACTACAAGGCTCATGTCATCCTTATGAGGTAGATCCAAAAGCAGCTCACTTTTGTTCATTAAGGTCAAATGAATGTCTTGGGATATACCCCTACAGACAATCCTGAGTTCTCATCAGCACAAAGCACTTCTTGTTACAGAGAGAAATGTTTTGATTCATTATTTCAGGAAAGGATGCCAAGGAAAAAAAGCAGCTGACTTACAACAGCAGTTCGTACATTTCCTGGACTGTTGGGATGTATCATGTATTCCATTTACATTGCACCTGCCTCAGGCACAGGATATCACTACGTAAGAGCAAACATATTGGCAAGTAACAATATGGTGTATGTGGTTGTAGGTAAGGATGCTATCCAAAGGCAACTGATTCTGTTGTGATTCAGAGTAGACTGCAGACAATGCTCATCAGCCACAATTCATCATAATAACTTGTGTGTATCTAAACTCTTATACATTGGTAGAGTGTCATATTGAACCATATGAAATTGCTGATATTCAACTGTTTTTTCTTAGCTTATAAAACTGGAATTTTATGTAGTTTAATCTAATACTTTCACATTTATTATTCCCCTTCGAAAGGCTACCTGCCATGCTTGAAAGCACACTGGATTTAGAGCCAGCGGCCTGGGTCCATGTCCCAACTTACATGCCACTTGCTTGCTGGGTGACCTTTACAAATCCATTAGAGATTGAACAGTGACATGTGGGAACAAAGAAAAATCTAATTCATGAGCTATTTATCAGTTTTTTGACTAACAGTTTCTGGATAGAGAGCCTTCTTCACAGGGGTGATATGAAGTTGCAGTACCATAATGTATTCAAAAAGGCTAACAATTCAAAGGTGAATAATTATTAATGTCATGACTGGTCATCAAGAGGAGATTGTCAGGTAGGAAGGGCAAGTATCATTATCCTTATTTTGCAGTTGGAGAAACTGAAAGTAATAAAGGTGGCTGAGGTGACTCAGCAGGTCAACAATAGAATCTAAGACGTGTCACTGTTGCTCTTTTAAGGGCACCCTCTGGTGGTTCTCTCAGTGTCAAGTGAGTGTGAACACTGCTCTAACTGACCACAGCAGCATCACCAGGACATCCCCACCAGTGAAAATGCCTGTCTCTGTAATGCCACATCAGTGTTTTGCAAAGTCATGAAAATGTAGGATACCTGACAATGAGTTCTTCCAAAATCTTTGTTTTTCCCCTTCAAAAACGGTATTAGGCTGGATGCTGTGACTCATGCCTGTCATCCCAGCACTTTGGGAGGCTGAGGCAGGAGGATTGCATGAGCCTAGAAGTTTGAGACCACTCTGGGCAACAAAATAATATCCCATCTCTCTGAATAAATATATCAATAAAATATGAGTTGGACATGGCAGCACACATCTATAGCACCAGCTACTTTGGAGGCGGAGGCAACAAGAGGCCTTGAGCCCAGGAGTTTGAGGTCACAGTGAACTATGATTGTGCCACTGCATTCCAGCTTGGGTTATAGAGAAATACCTCATTTGTAAGGCAAAACAAAACAACAACAACAACTGTATGAAAAGTTTTGGTGTTTTTGTTCCCCCCATATAAGGAAAGCCTTCACATTGCAACCGTGAGAGGCACCATGTAGGGTGGTTGCTGTCATTCCTATTATATGACTGAGAAAACAGGCCCAGTGAAATCTGAAATACCTGGTCGGAGATGTGGCAGGTAGGGATGAACAGCTGTGAAGAAAGCTAGTTCCTTCCAGTTTGAAAGCCTGTACTTCTACTGCTAAAATGCTCTGTTCATTCACCTTGGGCCTGAAGCAGCTCACAACACTAGTTAATTGGTTTGGGCAATCATAATACCCATGCATGAAACAAAACATTATTCAGTGGTAACATATGAAGCATATGGGTAAGATTAAAACTGAATTCAGTGAGATCCAGAATACAATATTGGATGATAGAGCAAATACTCCCTTGGAGAAGGAATACAGTGACTTTTTATAGACAACTTTTAGAAAAATCTCAGTACAGTATTAATCTGAGTCTACTTAAAGCACCTGACAACTATTTACATTGTAATATGACTGGTTCCAGGATATTTTTTACTTGGGTAAAGTAAGCCATAAAGAAAGCCAGTTTACTTCGGAATTCATATATAACATTCCACCTTGACCACCCACCACTCTACTTTTTATCACTTTCCCTTTTTATTCTTAGCGGTAAACTTCCTGTGTAAGATCTTGAAGTTACTACGGTTTGCATGCAACATTCAAGGATTTCATATGCGGACTGCTTTAAGGCAGCTCCCTCAGATCTCTTCAGGATGACTTCCCAGTTAGTTTCAATTTCTCTCCCTGCCTTCACACTGTGAAAGAGCATGGCATCTCTCGGGAAGTCTCTGTAATGCTACCCCTTCTTCAGCTCTTAGTTACTGGTCCTGGGTGAAGATGACTTGTTCCATTTTTGACCCAGATACAGGCTGTTGGACCCTGCATGGAAAACTAAAGCAAGCTATGCCGAAACTGTCATTATCTGAGGCAACCAGTGCTCTCTGGACCCAAAAGTAAAGCCTTGACTAACTTTGCTTTTCTGTTAATGAGAAAATTCTCCCAGTTACCTGGACATTTTCTTTCTCCTAAGATTTCATCTAGGGTAGGGTCTGTCTTCTGGCCTGTGGCTACCTACTTCTGGCTATAAGTAACTACTAGGAACTTTCCTCCTTTCATTCATTCATCATGAATAGTGAAGTACTTAAGATTGTGGATCCAGTGTCAGACTGCCTAGTTTTGAATCCAGGTTCTTCCACATATTAGTCAAATGGCTTTAGGCAATTTTCTGGGCACAAATGTCTCTGTCTGCCAAACGGAGATAAGATCCTACCTACCTGATACAAATATCACGAGACGAAATAGATCGATAGATTAAAAATGCTTAAAATATTGGGCTTACCTGTCCCCAACCTCATTGTCAAGCCACAAGCAATTCATCACTTATGCTGTGTCCGTAACAAACCCCAAATATTCCATGCATCTCAGCCCACGTTCAAAGTGCCTCATTAGCTTGGAATTCCCTCTTGCCACCCCCACTTATTAAAATTTTATCCACATTTCAAGATTCTATTCAAATCCCACATCTTCCTTAAAGAACTTCCACCTTGTGCACACCTAACTCTTTTACCATTAATATAATAGCACTTATACTGCAATGTATAATGACATTTATATTACCAAAATGAGTATACAAATGTATATCATTACACTTAAAGGCACCTCAATAAGTTTTTACACATATGTGAGTGTATGTGTCTGTGTGTTTGTAAAGGCATGTATACACATGTATGTATGTATTATGTACCTGTATATCTGTCTGTATACCAATTGATTTGACAGTCATTCCTTACATGACTATCATGGTTAATGTACCCTGTTACACGGAGGATATGAGGTAAATAAGACATATTTTCTGCCTATGAAGATTTAATATTATGGAAGGAAGATTTTTTAAAAAGCAATATATACTATACTATACTGTAAAACTGACTTGGATGATATACAAGAAATATCTAACATATACACACATATATACATATTTATATAGGCATGTATTTATAAATGTACAACTAAAATTTGATGAAACATCAAATTTCTAAGATAATTTCCAAAAGCTAATTTTATTTCAGAACTGATAACTGTGATCAGTATTAAGTAAAAAATTATTATTGTATTTCTACATATTCTAATTGAACCAAGGCTTGTGCCCCAAGATTGTTCAGACTTGCATACTTCAATGGTTCTAACTTTAAATTTAGAACTTTCTCATTCTGATGGCATCTCCAGATTTCTGCTTCTAAGTTTTTCACATACCTTTGATAGACTTTGTTGACTAAAAATGTTCTTTGTAACCTTTGCCATGTGTTTCTGCAGCAGAATCTTTTTTATTCTTTTGCATTTTACAGATAATAACTTCTTGTCTCTTGGTCTGGGAACAATGTGGAATAAAAATTGTAACAAATAATTTTAGAAGACCGGATTCATCCAGATTTAACTGAATAGGATTGTTACTATGCATTTATACACTGACAATTCAATCGATTAAGCTTACTTTTGATAAACTCTATAGGTTGACTTTAGATTGCATTATTTGACATTTATTATCTCCATTGTCTTCAGTAGGCCTTAGCAAGGAAGTTGAGTTTGTTTAGAGGCTTATATGTTTTTTTTTCCTGAAAGATCATTGCTTTGGTTTCTCTGTTTTAAAATAATATATCCACATTACCCAGATGATTAGTAAGAAAATTGGACAGAGTACATAGAAGTGTTTGTTAAATAGCTTACTCTAAAAATTATGCAAACCTCATAGCTTTTAAGATGTTTTTTAAAAGCCTAACTATACTAGATAGAAAAAGAAAACAGCTAACAATTATTTCAGTGCAAACTGAATCTTTTTCTGTAGCTATGTCTAGATGATTCATATATTAGTAAAAATAGCATGTATAATATGATCATGTTTCATATAGTTACTTTTGCATCTATCTAATCTTTCTATCTTTCTATGTATCTGTCATCTATATAACCTCTCTTCTGACTATAAATATGTAGAGATAAATATTTGAAATTATTTTCACAAAATGATAAAAGTTATTTATTGGTGGTTGAATATAGAGCAATTATTTTTAACCCTATTAACATATGTTCTGATAGTTATTATTTTATATATAATAAACATGTTACATATTTTTATTATGTATTCTAAGAAAATTAGTACCTTTATCTCTATGAGGTTTTTAATCCTTTTCAAAGGGGAAAAACAAGCATACTTCTTTATAACATGTTAGTATCGAAGACAGACACACTTTTGGGCTTGAGCATAAGGGAGCATCTAGTTTTGATGAGACTCTGAGAGAAATGTTTGTGAGTTTCGGTGTCTTTTCTCTTTAGAAAAATACTCCTTTACATAATAATTATGTACAAAGCACTGGGTACTTATGCATATGCATATATACTGTTTGCTAGGAAGATGCTCTGCAAATAGAATGATTTGTCATTACGTACACGTGTGTATCTATGCTTAAAAATAGCTATTTGTGTTTATCACACACCTTTCATCTCTTAGATGCATGAGGATATTCACAGTATCTTTGATTTTAAGTCCTTTCCTTTGCCTTGAAATGGAGTTGAAATGACTATTTATTTATTTATTGAGATGGAGTTTAGCTCTTGTTGTCCAGGCTGGAGTGCAGTGGTGCAATCTCAGCTCACTGCAACCTCCACCTCCTGGGTTCAAGTGATTCTCCTGCCTCAGCCCCCCAAGTAGCTGGGAATACAGGTGCCCGCCACCATGCCTGGCTAATTATTTTTGTATTTTTAGTAGAGACAGTGTTTCACCATGTTGGCCAGGCTGGTCTTGAACTCCTGACCTCAGGTGATCCACCCACCTCAGCCTCCCAAAGTGCTGGGATTACAGGCATGAGGAAATGAGACTTTAATATGAATTCTCTTTTCCATGACTCAATGCTTTATCTTGCTTTTAGCCCCTTCTGCTCCCCATCTGATTGACTTTCTATTAGTAAACATAGAACTGTCTCTGCATTCCAAGCCCTCAAATGGCCAAAGTAGATGGACCAGCTCCCTTTCTCTTTTATAATTCCAGCTGGATTCTCCCCCTTGTTATCGTTAGTGGGAGAACAGAGATGTGCATTAACTGCATAGACAGCTGTGGAAAACAAGAAGAAGCCCAGTCCCCATGACATCTCCAATAAAGCCATGAGACTCATGCAAGGTGGAGAATATTTGTATGTTGTGGTCATAGGAACCTGAATGACTTATGAGCAGTTGGGGAATTCTGTATTCATTTTTATTAACTTTAATTATAGGAGCACTATAAAATTTTCTCATTCTGTGTTGCGTGAAAAATGCAGTAGTTAATTGCTCCTGACATTTAATTGGTTTATGCTTCCCTCTAACACAATCTTGTACTGCAAGAGACAGGGAAAACTAGTTGGCATATTTCTGCAATTGCAGAGTATTACACACCAAGAAATTAGTCTTTTTGTTAGTTCTAGCAGTGAATTACAAATGCAGTTTCAGAAGTGTAGGTAGAGAAATAAAATCTGTGCGTCTACATTCTACATATGCTAAAAGACTGACATGGGCTTCCCTGAATGCTTTGTATGACTTTGCCAGAATGGCTGAGATTTTTTCATTATCATTGTACAGATTTAAAAATGACATTTTTTATACCCTTGTGAACATGTCAGGTTGTTTACCATTTCTGTTACAAGCCATCTGGACCCTTCATAACCTTTTCATATATTTTTTCAAATATCATCTGGCATAAAAAGCATAAGGTAACCTTGCTGTTACCAATTATAATACATGATGGAAGAAGTTGGATTTAGTGCGGCATAGTGCCTCTGATTTCAAGAGTGGCGAGACACTCTGGAAAGCATCCATCTCCTGTGATATGTTCTAAGCCTGAAGGGAGAAAATGATACATGAAGTACAAAAAGCCAATGCTAATTGCCATTTGACACAATTATGGACTAACGGTGCATATACCAACAGCAAGGCACTGTGTAAACATTATGGGATGTGCCATGATGAAGGTGGCAGGCACCTTGCCCTCAAGGAGTTTGTAATCTAGAGGAGGGAGGAGGCCTTACATGGTAACTAAATGCAAGGCTGGAAAGTGCATAAGGCTGAGAGAGCACAGAGGGAGAGAATTGCGAGAGTATGGAGAGGTGATTAGGGAGGCTGTACGGTGCTGCCATATTATAAAAATAGAAGTGAACTGGCAGTGGGGAACAGCTTTTTGAAACGTGAAGCCTGTTTATCATTTTTATTGCGTCTATTTGATTCTTCTCTCTTTTCTTCTTTATTAATCTTGCTAGTGGTCTATCAATTTTGTTGATCCTTTCAAAAAACCAGCTCCTGGATTCATTAATTTTTGAAGGATTTTTTGTGTCTCTATTTCCTTCAGTTCTACTCTGATTTTAGTTATTTCTTGCCGTCTGCTAGCTTTTGAATATGTTTGCTCTTGCTTTTCTAGTTCTTTTAATTGTGATGTTAGGGTGTCAATTTTGGATCTTTCCTGCTTTCTCTTGTGGGCATTTAGTGCTATAAATTTCCCTCTACACACTGCTTTGAATGTGTCCCAGAGATTCTGGTATGTTGTGTCTTTGTTCTCGTTGGTTTCAAAGAACATCTTTATTTCTGCCTTCATTTTGTTATGTACTCAATAGTCATTCAGGAGCAGGTTGTTCAGTTTCCATGTAGTTGAGCAGTTTTGAGTGAGTTTCTTAATCCTGAGTTCTAGTTTGATTGCACTGTGGTCTGAGAGACAATTTGTTTTATTTTCTGTTCTTTTACATTTGCTGAGGAGAGCTTTACTTCCAAGTATGTGGTCAATTTTGGAATAGGTGTGGTGTGGTGCTGAAAAAAATGTATATTCTGTTGATTTGGGGTGGAGAGTTCTGTAGATGTCTATTAGGTCCGCTTGGTGCAGAGCTGAGTTCAATTCCTGGGTGTTCTTGTTAACTTTCTGTCTCGTTGATCTGTCTAATGTTGACAGTGGGGTGTTAAAGTCTCCCATTATTATTGTGTGGGAGTCTAAGTCTCTTTGTAGGTCACTCAGGACTTGCTTTATGAATCTGGGTGCTCCTGTATTGGGTGCATATATATTTAGGATAGTTAGCTCTTCTTGTTGAATTGATCCCTTTAGCATTATGTAATGGCCTTCTTTGTCTCTTTTGATCTTTGTTGGTTTAAAGTCTGTTTTATCAGAGACTAGGATTGCAACCCCTGCCTTTTTTTGTTTTCCATTTGCTTGGTAGATCTTCCTCCATCCTTTTATTTTGAGCCTATGTGTGTCTCTGCACTTGAGATGGGTTTCCTGAATACAGCACACGATGGGTCTTGACTCTTTATCCAATTTGCCAGTCTGTGTCTTTTAATTGGAGCATTTAGTCCATTTACATTTAAAGTGAATATTGTTATGTGTGAATTTGATCCTGTCATTATGATGTTAGCTGGTTATTTTGCTCGTTAGTTGATGCAGTTTCTTCCTAGCCTCGATGGTCTTTACAATTTGGCATGATTTTGCAGTGGCTGGTACCGGTTGTTCCTCTCCATATTTAGTGCTTCCTTCAGGAGCTTTTTTAGGGCAGGCCTGGTGGTGACAAAATCTCTCAACATTTGCTTATCTGTAAAGTATTTTATTTCTCCTTCACTTATGAAGCTTAGTTTGGCTGGATATGAAATTCTGGGTTGAAAATTCTTTTCTTTAAGAATGTTGAATATTGGCCCCCACTCTCTTCTGGCTTGTAGAGTTTCTGCCGAGAGATCCGCTGTTAGTCTGATGGGCTTCCCTTGTGGGTAACCCGACCTTTCTCTCTGGCTGCCCTTAACGTTTTTTCCTTCATTTCAACTTTGGTGAATCAGACAATTATGTGTCTTGGAGTTGCTCTTCTCGAGGAGTATCTTTGTGGCATTCTCTGTATTTCCTGAATCTGAATGTTGGCCTGCCTTGCTAGATTGGGGAAGTTCTCCTGGATAATATCCTGGAGAGTGTTTTCTAACTTGGTTCCATTCTCCCCGTCACTTTCAGGTGCACCAATCAGACATAGATTTGGTCTTTTCACATAGTCCCATATTTCTTGGAGGCCTTGTTTGTTTCTTTTTATTCTTTTGTCTCTAAACTTCCCTTCTCGCTTTATTTCATTCATTTCATCTTCCATCACTGATACCCTTTCTTCCAGTTGATTGCATCGGCTCCTGAGGCTTCTGCATTCTTCAGGTAGTTCTCGAGCCTTGGCTTTCAGCTCCATCAGCTCCTTTAAGCACTTCTCTGTATTGGTTATTCTAGTTATACATTCGTCTAAATTTTTTTCAAAGTTTTTAACTTCTTTGCCTTTGGTTTGAATTTCCTCCTGTAGCTCGGAGTAGTTTGATCGTCTGAAGCCTTCTTCTCTCAACTCATCAAAGTCATTCTCCGTCCAGCTTTGTTCCGTTGCTGGTGAGGAACTGCGTTCCTTTGCGAGAAGAAGCAGCAGGACCATAGCGCAGCTCTGTCCGCATCATCTGTCATTAATTCTTCGCTTTCAAATTTTATAGGACCCCGGAAAATTGATTGAGGAAGATCTAAAAGAAAACAATGGTCAAATTTTGTTCTTTAGTTCACTTGCTCCAGGTCCTGAAAATTATTTAAAACCAACAGATCGTCAAAGGCTAAGAACACTTACTGGAGCTATTTTTTAATTCATTAAAGACTTCAAAAGCTAGAAATCACAATTCTGCAAGGTTAAGGAAAAAGAGAAATCTTAATTTCCTCTGCCATTAGTTTTTTAATAAATCCAAAAATACCCCTGGTGTATCTTGAGAATGTAGCTCTTCTCCATTTTTACCTAGTAAAAGCCATGTAATCTCATACATGAAATGAATAGATAAACTAATAAACATGAAAATGGCCTCTGTAGGCAGACAAGGTAGAGATCATTATACTAGTGCAAGCAGTGTTTTTGAGGCTGGAGCAGGCAGGGTGGCTTTTCCCTCAGAAGTTACGTACGTCCAAAAGGTTTGCAATGGCCAACTCAAACGAAAGTAAAGTTATGGCCAACTATCTGGGAAGGCATTTCCAAATGGCTCAAAGATGCCAGAAGCAGGAGGCAGGCCCAGGTTTTGGTTAGGGGAGATGGGGACAGAAGGTTGAGTCAAAGACCAAGGTGGTTTTCATCCTATACAGTCACAAGCAGTGGGTCCAACACATTCACAGGTGCAACCTCTCCCCCAGATTCTCCCCTGAGTTCAGAGATACCCAATAGATCCTTGGAGCTGCTGGCGCATGTCATAAGCTCCAATACAAAATATCCTAGGATGACGACAATGTTGTATGTAGTAATCCTGTTATTATCTAGTGAAAAACAGTATCCGAGATCCTTTTTCTTTTTCTTTCTTTCTTTCTTTCTTTTTTTTTTTTTTTTTTTTGAGATGGAGTCTCACCCTGTTACCCAGGCTGGAGTATAGTGACGCGATCTCGGATCACTGCAACCTCTGCCTCCTAGGTTCAAGTGATTCTCCTGCCTCAGCCTCCCCAGTAGCTGGGATTACAGGTGCACGCCACCAGGCCAGGCTAATTTTTGTATTTTTAGTAGAGACGGGGTTTCACCATGTTGGCCAGGCTGGTCTCAAATTCCTGACCTCGTGATCCACCCTCTTCAGTTCCCCAAAGTGCTGGGATTACAGGCGTGAGCCCCGGCGCCCAGTGGATTCTTCTTTGTGCTGCTTTTGCTGATCACTCGCCAGTCACATGCATAGAGACAATGCTATTTACCATCATGTTCAGGATGCAGCACAGGGTGTTGGAGAGTCCAGTGCATTTAGGAGCTTGTAGCTTCAGCTCTGCCCACTTGAAATTCATGGGGCTGATTATCTTGGCCTGCAAGATATTCAGAAAGCAGCTACTGGCAATGCACATACCTCTGCCCACTCTGTGAACATAGAAAACAAGTTTTCATCCAGTGTCACTGAGGAAATATTTCAACTTCAAAGCAGCCATTGTCTGTAGGACTTGATTAGAGAGTACGACCAAGGAATTGGCTACAGTCATGTGTTTGAGAATCAAATCTGTGGATCTTAATGTGCACCTGGTGAAATAAAGGAAACTATAACGTTAAAGAAGAAAGACATTTCCTAGGAATTCAACTATAATCTGAGATAAGAAGATCATTCCTTTTGCCAAATACCCCAGGGCATTTGTCATTTTTTCAGTGACTTTTATTTCCATTTAGAGTGAGAGGATCCTGCATAGAAACATGAAGTCTGCTTTAATGTGGAACCTGAAATTCACTTGTCCACTTATTGTTATTTCCACCTCCTTAATTTCTTATTAAAACCCATTTTTTCTTCCTCTGAATGTTTGCTATAAAAATAAATACATATATGGGAATTATATTAGTTTCATAAGAACATATACATACCATATCAGAGTTTTATATATAACAATCCCATAAGTAACAATAATTTCATAAAGTAAGCACTTTGTTATTCCCATTTTACAGGTGAGGAGAGCTTAGGTAAAGGAAGACTGAGTGACTTTTCTAATGTCCCCTCCTTGGAAGAGGCAGAGCCAGGAGTTGACAATGTATTTAACCATTGTGTGTTTCAACCTCTGACAAAGTTGTATTTTTCCAAATGTCCACATTATTTTTCGGTTTTGCATATCCTGTACATTTTTAAATAATGGTTGTGCATTTAGAAAAAAACAAGGCACCAAGATGGGGATGTTGCATAGATTGGGGAATCGGTTCTCAAGGAAAGAGAGTCAAGAGGAATAGAGCAAGGCTCAGAGCTGGCACACAATTGAAGAAACTCAATCTCTAGACCCAAGGAAAGCCCTGTGATGTTGCTGTTCTGGAATGCCCAGACTGTGCTTACCAGGATGTAGTGGCTCCTTAGAGGCACAGTGCCAGGCAAGCCATGTGATCTTGATCTAACCAGTTGAGGATCTAGGGGAGCATTTCTTAAAGTATGGTCCACAGTCTCCTACACCAGAATACCACAATGAGTGTTAAAAATGCCCATCTCCAGACCTGACTGCACACCTTGGAATGGATTTTGGGGCACCTTCCTGGGGGTGACTCTTAATGATACCAAAGTTTGAGAAGCTCTCATTTAGGTCATCAGAAGAAATGAACACGTGAAATCAATGACCCAGACAAGGCCAGAAATTTTACATGGGAAATCATGGGGCCAGATAGTAACAATAGTAATTGAGGAGAAATAAAGATAAATTTGAGCTAAGAGGTTAAAGCAGGTCTTGAAAGATGTGAGGAATTTTACTCAGTGAAGAGGTGGGAACATTCTTGGTGGGAGAAAGGGCCTCAAATGAAAACCCTTGGAGGAAGTCAGCCTGGCATCATGGAAAAGGCCTTGAGCTAAAATTAGGTTTAATGAGGATTGGGTTTAGAGGAGAGTGTTAGCATCTGGTGTGGGCAGAATAAATGTGATGGTAATGTTTAAAAGTGATTCAGGATTTAAGGACTTATTCAGATCAATTCACTTTCAGTGCTACAGGATTGCAAGCCCAGAATTCAGTGAATTCAGGACCTTGGTATTATTACTTTTGCTAAGTCATATTTTCACCTTATCGAATAATGATTCTCTTCAGTGCAACAGATACACATCTAACATTAGTGCTATATGAAATAAGGGGGAAACATAGAAAAGTTATTGAACTGTACAGTTCCTGTGCCTTGAATTTCATGTTCTTATGAGCCCCTGTAACTTTTTAATTTAAATGCTAATGCAAATAGCCCATAAAAGAGACAAGAAGAGAAAGTGCACATGCCTCTCAGAAATCATGTAGACAGGTAGACCAGGTGTCTGATGCGCAATCAAGATATGAAGGGCTGATGGTGGGTGGCTGCCATTAGAGGTGTCAGGGATAACGATGGCAGGTCCGATGACATTCCTAGTAACAGCTGCATATGGCTAACTATGAGGAGTGGCCCTTGCAGTGCCCTTCCTTTAGAAGTCCCTTATTCAAATGTGAGAACAGCAGAGATTCCCAGACTCCAAGGGCTGAAAGTCCCTTTTGTTTAATCCCTGTCCCAATCCCAGCCTTGCTGCTGCTGCCCCAGCCCTGCCTCAGGCTCTTGAGGGATGGTGTCTTTTCAGCACAAAACGCCACATCTGCTGCACTTTCTTGAAGCTCACTTCCACGGAGCATAGGGAATCAGGTGATCTTGGCACTTGAGCCTTCACTGAATTTGCTTTGAAAAGTTACCAAGTGGTTCTGGCATGAGAAGCATTCTTGATTAATTCCCCAGGTTGGTGGTCTCTTGTATTTGCCAAGAACCAGAGAGAGAGACCAACAGAATGGTAAATGTTTTTTGTTGTTGTTGTTATTTGTTTGGTTTGTTTTGTTTTAGTGATCCTTGTAGTATGTCTTTCTTTAGCACTTACCGGCCCAATGGCCCCTGCACTCCTTATCCTGCCTTTATGCAAACTTCTAACTGTCCAAAGCCTCAATAGTGACCCCATGAGACCCTATCATTTCTAGTAGAGCCATGCGTTTCAGACCTTTCTGAAGTATCTTCTTCTCATCATGTTTTAATAATGTTTTCCTAACACAGAATGTTTTCCTTTAAAGAAAACTGGAAAACAGAGAAAAATGAGAAAATATTTGCCAACATGTAGATAAAATATTTATTGCTTTAATCTTAATTTTTTTAAGCTTAAAAGGAAGGGATTAACAAAAAGAAAAGTGAGTGAATGCGTGAATAAATGAATGGACACAAATGACAAATAAATGTTTGATTTCATCTGCTTAAGGCCTGCTAAGTGATTGATTGGCAAATCTTAGAGAACAATTCACATCCAGATGTTTATAGCTAAAAATATCCTAATATATTTTCTCTGAGAGATACAAAAAGAATTCTGAGACTTGTGATAATATTTGCATGTCAGTGGAGCTCTTAGTCCCCTTAACATCACATCAGGATTGTCCACTCTGTTTTATTGGCTTAAATGTCCAGAACATGGCCCAGAGAAGAGCCTGTGACATTTATCTTCTGTATTCAATCCCACTTCATCTGCAAGATCATAGTTGGGAAGACTGTAGGTTGCCCCAGAGTAAGGAAGGATATACAAACTACAATGAATGTGCCTAGTAATATTTCTCACATTCATTCCAGGATATACAAACTACAATGAATGTGCCTAGTAATATTTCTCACATTCATTCCAGGATGACACAAAAAGGTTCATTACCAGATGTGCAATGCAAAGACAAGTGCTTTGTGAAGGTGGAAGAGAATAGCTAGGAGTCATGTAGAAGAAAGGAAGCGGCAATGGGGTGGGTTAAGAATTAGAGCAACATAGATATCCTATAAAATGGAATATGTGAAGAAGGTATAAGTGAACCCAAAGAAGGGTGCAAAGATACAAGAATGAGGAAGGTTGGTCAACAGCCACTTTTCTGGACTAGTCTGTCTTCCAGTGCTTCTCTTTGCCACTGTTTGGAGGGCTTGTGCAGGTGGTGGCAGGACCTTCAATTTGCAGACCTGTGTTAGGTAGGACAGAATTGGATTAGCCACTTAGTGACATTAATTTATTGAACAAAGTGAGTCAGAAAATTGAAAGTTCATCTTAATCCTTTAACCTCCTTTCCTGGGACACCTGGATTCATTCACCTATTTCATTAAAGCATAAGTGTATGGTACTTACATGTGTCATGCTCTGTATTAAAGCCTATGGGAAAAGCAAGGATAAATGTTGCTCTTCTGCCTGTAGGTGGCTAACAATCCTCATTGAAAAAGGCAGAAATGCCCAAGAAACCTATGCAGGGCACTATCGGCTGTATACACAAGTGCAGAAAAACAATGATAGAGAAGCCCTGCAGAGGTAGAGATATCTTCAAACTGGGGGATCTGCAAAGTCGTCAGAGTGGTGGGGTTGAAGCCTTGACTCTGGCAGATGGGAAGGAATTCTGACTGGGTCTGACCATTGGACCATGAAATGTCTGAAACACCTGCTTCCTATCCTCGGGAGGTGACTAACTCAGCTCAAGGCCTCTTGACTACACAGGCTTTCAAACCTCCAGCAGATGAACACAGAAGATGAAGTGGCTGAGATGAAGCCTGCTTTTCTCCTGTCAGAAAAAAAAAAAAAGTTTCCATTCTGTCAGTAGGCAGAGAGGGAATGAGAGAGCAAATTCTAGTCAAAAAATGACAATTGGTTTCTGTTTACACATATGTGCTGAGGGTTGTTTTCAAATCAAACTTCTGTAATCTATCCTCAGCTGTTGTGGTTTATGGCATTGATGAGTAAGAGCTTCTTTTGGAAGGAAAAGAAATATAATGCACAGGAGGGATCTTGAAATGTATTTTGGGACAGAACCACATTTCCTGAACATGTTTAAAGTGTGACCTTTTCTAATCTTTAAAAGTAAGATAACTTTTTGAAGATTAATATGTTATGAGTATAAAATAACCCTCTGGTAATGCTGTGTGTGAATGGCAGGAATATTTTTTTCCAAGACCCTTTCGCTTCCGTTCCGATAATGTCTCTAGGACCAAGAATGGTTTCTTGTTCATCCTTTCTACCAAAAGTCCAGGATATGGCTCAGAGGGTGGTGCAAGTTCAGTAGATTCTTGTTCTGGGCTCCTTTGTGGATGTTGATGAACTTCTATGTGTATGAAAATTGGTTTGCTTATTTTATCAGTCTTCTAATTGGATTTGCATTGCATTGGATCTCACTCAACAAATTTGCTTTAAAACTGAATATTATATTAAAACCTACCATGTATTAGGCACTCACTGTGTATCAGGTAGTATGCTAAGTATTGTACTGCTTAATTTCCACAATCACCGTTCGTGCTGGGAGCTATTAGTACCAGTTTCCAGATGATGCATTTGTCTGTTCCCCAGAGCAGGGATCAGAACCAGCACCTTTCTAACTCTAAAGTTCAAGCTCACAACCAGTAAGCCATATTGCCTCACGTACTCCTTCTCAACCATATCCCTTCTTCCCTAAGGGACAAAGTTCGTAGGGGAAGCACAAGTGCTAGAGAGGAAAAGCCATGGGTATTTTAGATATATTTAGTGCTTTTATCAAATAAGTAGGGCATGGTTTTTCTCCCAATATTTCCTGAGTTAAATTATAGATGTTTTGAGCCACATAGAGCGATGTTAGTGGTAGAGCTAAATCAGGCTTTGGCTTCTAATCCAGCC
This sequence comes from Homo sapiens, assembly GCF_000001405.40. Lineage (NCBI taxonomy): Eukaryota > Metazoa > Chordata > Mammalia > Primates > Hominidae > Homo > Homo sapiens. Next base: position 52,424,627 of record NC_000018.10, read on the forward strand.
CTCCAACTAGGCAACAGGATCTGCCTAGATCCTAATTAAGAAAGTGCCACATTTTTTCTAAATTGTGCAAAGCCCTTATTGAGTTACCTCTGCCAGTTCACAATGGGAGAACTGATGGTTGGGGAAATTGGAAGTCCTGATACAGATTATCTGCATGGGGTTCAGACGATGCCAGTCAGTGGGTAACTTCCTTCTACGTATCAAACCCAAGATTATTGCCAAAGTATCTTATTTATGTTATATTTCTTTCTATTTTTTTCCATTCATTTTTTATTATCTCTCCTGATTTCCTTTTCTTTTTTATTTTCTTTTTATTTGTTTAATTTCATGGGGGTACAAGTATAATTTTGTTACATGCATAGATGGCATACTGGTCAAATCAGGGCTTTAGGGTATACATTGCCTGAATAATGTACATTGTACCCATTAAGTAATTTCTAATCATCCATTTTTTTCCTACCATTTGATGGATAGTGCTGATAAGTTTAGATATTTCCTGTATTAGAAAGTTAATAGGCTCCACTAGCTTAGGCATAACATTTATAAGCTATGTTACAAAATAATACACTGGCAAAACTCATGTAGTTCTGATGTTACTTGTCAATTTTCTCCTAAGGAGGTATTAATGAAACACATAGTTGGGTGTGGCTAAACTGGTGTCCCTCTTCTCTTTCTGCTTCTGTCATCCTCAGATAGATCCCTGAGTGTCACGGGGCTCTAAGTCTCATGATGATCCATGTCTCCTTGCGTTAGACTGGTTCCCTACCTAAACCAGAGCCATTGCTCAAATTGCAGAGTTTCAGTTGGTGTCTGAGGTGATTTCAAGGTTGGTGCTACCATGCAAAGATGGCTGGCTACAAGTATGCCATGTGCTATCAGCACGTTCTATGTCCCACTACACATGCATTTATACACTGGGAACGTTATGACTATACTGCACAGCCAGTAGAAAATTGGCAACCTCCATTGCCAATATCTGTAAAAATGCTTGCTTGTGACTACAGTCAGCAGGGTTTCGTAGGCCTTCCTGAAGTTGAATAAGAAAAGAAAAGTAAAACATTTTGGGACTTGGAGGATTCTTCCCACCCTCATTCATTGGGATCCCAGGAAAAAAAGCAAAGTGTTTGGAGGCAAACTGAGTTTAAATTCCAGCTCCACTCATAGAAATTATGTGACTTTGGCTTGTGGTGTATTAAGTTCTCATACATAATAGGAAGACAATACCTACCTCCCATGGTTGTTGAAAGAATTTAATGAGTGTTTATTGCCTATGCACATACATTACAGTCAATAAATATAATATTCTCTGTCATCTTTGTGGTTTTCTAATTCCTGATATCAAGTGTTACCCTAAACATTAGGCTCAAGATCTCACTGTTGTTATCTCAGTGAGGTTCTTCAACTCACACAGAAGCACATAGCAATTTCTATTTCTAAGGCTCACCTTAGAGATCATCTAGGATTAGATTTGAGTTTATGACTAAAATGTTGTAGTTTTGAAACAGCTTTCAACAAGCAGCCTGTACCAGCCTGATCAAAGCACTTGTGCCTTATGATGGTGGTGAAAAGCTGTGTCCTCCACCCTATCATCTCCACGGCAATGAGAACATAATGAAGGTGGCTGATTGTGCATGAATCATTCCTTACTAAAGTCAGCTGTAGTGCCAGAATTTTTTTTTTTTTTTTTGGCATCGCTTACTCCAACTTGACAGCTTGAGCTAAAGCTCTACCCCATTTGACATCTTTGAGAATCTTCCTTTTCCCTTTGTAAACTTAAACATACGTGGTCGTGGTGTAAGGACCCAGTGGGCACAAGAGTTATATCTAGAAAACTGTGTGATGACCAGTTTTATCTACACTGAAAAAGAGTCTATGTTTTCCCAGAAATAAACCCCCAAAGAAAGTGGACAGATTTGCAAACAAATCAATAATCACCCCAGCAACCACCGACAAAAACCTACAAGGCAAATATCTGTTTAATAGGCCTGATATTGCCTAACATACACTGATAGTTCTGAGAAGAGAATTAATTCTGTTTGATCTGCTTTAGTTAGTCTTTGTAGAGGATACCTTGTTGCCAGCATGTAAATAGGTGAGGATTTACAAACAGCTTGGTCATTGTGCAATTTTATATTACTTTTTCAAATGGCATGTGGAATGTGGCATTATTTTTTGTTATCAGAGAAATTGAATTTGAAGATTAGTAACTATCTGTGATTATAATAACAAAAAATCCATTTTGGTTAAAAATAATAATAACGATTCATTGAATACTTACAAGGTTTCAAGCACTATTCTTAATTCTTGGTATACTTTATCTCCCAAATCCTGACAATAGTTCTATGACGTAGGTGCTGTTTTTAATTTGCATTTTTATAGAGACAAAAACTGAGGTTTAAAAGTTATATAACATGTTCAAGATCATAGAACAACTTAATGGTGAAGTAAGTACTGTAATCCAGATCCAATCTCCAAGTCTACATTCTTAGCCCTTTCACTAAGTACTTACTACTGGAAGGGAAATTAGAGATGAACTAATATCACCTGCTCATTGTCATGAAGATAAAACTGAAGTCCAAAGAGCTGAAGTGATTTGTCCAAAGTCACATAGCTACCTAGTGCCAAATCCAGAATTAGAACTGAGATCTGCTAATGTTCGTTAAGATCAATATATCCCTTTCCCCTGCACTACATCCAGGGTTATTTCTCTCTGTTAACTCTATGATCACTTTTTGAGAATTTTTTTTAAAATCTTTTAAGAAGGAAGGAAGAGAAGGAAAAAGGAGGATATGGAAGGAAGGAAAGAGAAAAAAGAAAGTTGAAATTCAGATTTGGATCAGTTATACCCAACAAGATGTCAGGTTTGCACAGTGGAGGGTCTGAGTCTGAGCCTCATGACAAAGCAGAGGGTGTGCGACTGCAGATATTGAAGACAAATATACTCCCAATCTAAAGGATCATCTGTTTTTAGGATGATTCCTCTTGTAAGGAAAGATGTTGGCACTTGTCAGCCAGTACCTATAAGGCCCCCTGAAGGTGATTTTCTTACTCCCATCATGATAAATTCACTCTGTTTCAATCAGGGTGTGCAGGGTCCAAGGCCAAGTTCTTTTCCTCTTTTCAAAGTTCAGTGCCTTCTTCCTCATAGAAATCAGAGAATGAGGTAAACTAACTTTCTTTTCTTCCTTTCTTCCTTCCTTCCTTCCTTTCTTCCTTCCTTCCTTCCTTCCTTCCTTCCTTCCTTCCTTCCTTCCTTCCTTCCTTCCTTGGCACATCTTTTGAAACACTCAAAGTATTATCTCACGCAGCTGATCTGGAGCCAAAAGGCAAGCACTCCACCAAAGTAGCTCTTGTTCAACAAAGTCACGTCTCTAGGACCAAATTGTCTTGGCTTCGTGGCTCATGTGTTTATTCCCCTTGGCCTGGCATTTTGAATGCTACTGTCCTTATCAATCTCTTTAAAAAATCTTCTTGCATTTCTGTTTTATCTTCTCTCTCTGCAGCCCCTTCTTTCTCCCTTAGTTCTACTTCCACTAAAATTGCCTCTCTACATGCATATTGATCAGCTTTCTGATTTCTTTCCCTGAGAATATTCATTGCTGTCCTGCTTAATGACAGGTTGGTGAGCAGAATTATGTTTAATTCAAGCCATTTTCACCAACCTGTTCTTTGACTCTTTTACATGAAGCCTTCAGAGAGTGTGTCTACTCCGTTAGTACAAGAAAAGTAGAAAGAAATGTCTGCCCTTGTGTCATAATAAGATTAAGTAAAAATGTAACAAATGTGTTTGTCCTAATTAAGAGGATACAACATCATAGAAAAAAAGGTCTTAGGCAGACCTACAAGGAGATACATTTGACTTGGAGAAGATTTGTGTTTTAATATGTACCATCGAAACCCAACAACAATAACTTGTACACCTGCTTTTAGAGTTTAATGGATAATTTAATCAAATGTGGTTTTAATTGTACCATTTACTGATATAAATTATTATTGTCATCATTAGCCATATTGTTACCAAACTATTTCAGGATCTAAACTTGGTACTAGGCATTTTGTGTGAGACAGAGCAAGCCATGGAAATTTATTATAATTTTTAAAATCTTTATTTCACTGAAATAAATCACCAGACAAACTAACAGGAGGCCCTTGCTCTTCAATCAGCAGGTATGTTATTAATCCAACTGTATTTTCTCTAACCCCTGGAAACACTGGTGAAATGCAAAGCATATAATTAACACTGTGGCTAGTAAAGCTATTAATATATATATAATAGAAGTAATAGACTGCCTTTAAAATACCCAGCGGCTGAACTTCTCATGTTGCAGAACAGAAAAATATGCACGTGGATGAATACTTTTATCCAATCATTTCCTGCCATCCCCAACTCCTACCCTCTCTTTCGCACTTTACTTCTGCTATCTAAACATCCCCTTGCCTTTCTAAGATCTACGTACAGTTATACAACACAAAAGTGACTAATTTTTACTGATGTCCATAACTGTCTTTGAGGCCCATTTATTGAGTGTCTGTTAAGTACTAGGTACTGCGCTAAGCATTTTAAGCACAGTATCTCATTTAGTCTACTCATCAACCTATATATTAGGTGTTACTATCACTAATTTACAATAAGGAAACTGAGGCTCAGGCAAGTTGTATAAATTGCATCGAAGTACACAGCTGGTAGGTGACAAAGCTGAGATTCACACTGAGGCATGTGTGAGTGTCTTTCTGCTAATAGACATTACCCTTGAATTTTCTGAAAAAAACAAAAACATCTGCTGCTTTTTAGGATGCTAAAGCACTCTTTACGTTTGATGTTAGAGTGATAAGAGCATATTAATGACTTTTCACCATCTAACTTTTTTTTGACTTAATTTATTTGGCTGTGTGAACGTTTTCTATGTAATCAGATGAATTTGTCATGGGCCCCTTTGATTTTATTTGTTTCTGTATCTGAAAAACAAATAGCAACAAGGCTTCTCTCACCTGTTTCAATCAACTAAGCCTAATCTAAAGCAGAAAATGGCCATGTTCTTAAATCTCTCCTTTGAGAATATTGTCATTCCATCAGAATAACACTCATCCAAACAAAGCTCCATTATAACAAATCTTAATTTCTATCCAACTCAAAGAAACATTCCTTTATTACCAGTAACAGTCATAGATATGCTGGGAATTCTAAAGTAATTAAAACCTGGCTCCTCCTTTTAAGAAGCTTATAGAGAAGGAAAAGCAGATTTTGCTCTAACAAGTCAAGAGGTGGGTAAGGTATTGGGGCTACAGAGAAATAATGGCTTTTGAGCTGGTCATGGGAGGATCAACAGGATTTGAGAGGTGGATAAGGTATAAGAATATTTAAAGTAGGAGAAAGATACAAGCTGTACAGAGCATAAAGCAGATTTTAGCAGAGAATAAAGTATATGCAAAATATTTGTGGAAGAGAAGTTGTACTGAAAAGGTGAGCTAGGATCAAACTGAGCCTGAAGAGCTTTTAGAGCTCCCAAGAGACACCCAATCTACATTCTCTTGGTAGCAGAGAGCCTAGGGAGGGTTTTAGACGTGAAAGTAATAAGAATACATCTCTTAGAAACATAACTCTGACAGTCAAGTGAAAGGCAAATGAAAATGAAGGGAAACTGAAGATGGCAGCTTATCAGGAGGGTGCTGCAATGGTTCAGGTAAATGAGGATGTATTTCTGGACCAAGGCAACGGTGGTGAGGGAGAAAAAAAAAGATGTGAATGCAACATACTTTTACAGTACAAGAAAAAATGCATTGGTTAATTGGATGTGAGGTGTAGGGATAAGGAAGAGTCAAGTGTGACTCGGAGGTTCTTGCCTAAGGCAGCCAAGTAGCAGATGATTCTGTTTGCTAGGGAAGGGAAAGCTTGGGACAGTGATGAGCCTGGTAGATGATGAATGTGCTGGGGTGCTTTGGGTTTGTGGTAGGAATCTATGGAGGATGATAGTAAAAATACTCATTAATTCTCATTTCTTACATACATACAAATGACAAAGAGGAGCTGTGCAAAACCGCTGTGGAATAAGCCAGTTTATGTTTGTAGTGTACTAGTTATATGGCATTTCCAATAGGGAATTTCCTATTGAAGTGAAACACAGTTGTTTAGGAAGAAATAAATGCTGAAATAATGCACATAGTGAATTCAGGGATGGAGAAAACACTCTCAAATAATTTTTTTAACTAAGAAAATTCCAGGCAGCACCTAAAAGCATGATTGCTTTCACTAGACACTTTAAATTACTGTCTATAAAACTTCTTGATCCTCTTTTAATGCCCAAACCTTTTAGAGGAATTTACAAACTCTTTATTTTTGGCTTCTCAGAATGAGTGGTTTAGGTTCACCCCACAAAACTGGAGGGATTAGCCCATCAAAAGATGGACACATATGGAAAGGTACTTCCACTTGCCCTTAATACCCTTCACAGTGATCCTCAAAGTGTGGTTCTTGGACCAGCAGTACCATCATCACCAGAGAACTTGTTAGAAATGTAAATCCTTGGACACTCACCCAAATATACTGAATCAAGAATGCTGGAGTTGGGACCCAGCAAGCTGCACTTTTACAAGTCCTCTAGGTGATTTGGAGGCTTGCTACATTTGTGAATCACTGCTCTAGTCCCGGAGGTAAAGATTGATGAAAAAAAATAAGAAAAGCAATAATAATAAAGAAAGAAGAGAACATTTAGAAAAAAAAAGATCAGCATTCACTTTCTCTTTGAATAAGTGAATGAACATTCCTTGGGGGTGTAATAGTTAGGCTCCTATCCCTTTCAATACAACATATATTTGTCGAGAATCCAATTAGTGCCACGGACTGTGCTAAGTGTAGCATATTCAAAAGGGGAAAAATTCTGTGGATTTTCTGTGTTCTCAAAAGAAGAAGAAAAAAATGAAGAAAAAGAAAAAAGTATTGTTCGTCTTAAAGGTAAATAATATGTTGTGCTTTTGAAGAATTAGATGGGCTTGGCTGTTTATGGTTCCAATGCCAGATGAAATGCTCAGTGAACACCCCTGCAACAAGTACAGTGAAGGGTCGTAGCTCCACTCAGCCTGGCCATGCATCCTAAATTCCGAGGCCACAAATGTTCCAGAGACACTAGCCTTTTTTCACGAGGCATAATCACCACTTATCAAGTGTCTCACCAATAAGCTTCATGTAACAGAAATGTCAAGCCCCATTTGATTCATCTTGCACTGCCCATTCTCTCTGAAGGGGATGGCTTTCAGGCCCTCCATCCATCTCGCCTGATGATCCCTT